>NC_000003.12:128402543-128554058 GCF_000001405.40 Homo sapiens
GTGTGACCTTGGGCAAGGTACTAACTCTTCTGTGCCTGTTTCCTCAACACGGTGTTACGAGAGGATTCAGTACCTCCGTGCTGTGGGGACATCTTTGTGTAGAAATCTTCTGCCGTATCTCAGACCACTTGTTTGGACCGAATTCCTAGAAGTGCCTTTCTTAGTTCACACTGTGACCATCTAGGACTTTGTCCCTCCCAGGTTGTCACCAGCCAGTGCTTAAACAGCTGCCCTTCAGGTTCTTGGAAAACCAGAGCAGTTTGCCCCTCAGCCCCAGCAGGGTCTCCTCCAACGCTTATTTGGAGAGTGTTCTCTGAGTATCCGCCACTCACCAGCAATCACTCCAGGTGTTAGGGTTACAACAGTGAATAGACAAAACTCCCTGCTAGGGTGGAGCTTGTCATTTCAGCAGAGGCAGACAACAAACCCAAAACAAGGACATCATAGAGGACATTAGAAGGTGATAAGAGCTATAGGAAAAATAGTGGGGTGAGAGGGGGTCAGGGGAGCATGAGGGGGTTGTAGTTCTAAACAAGGGGGTCACAAAGGCCTCACCAAGAGGTGACAGTTGTACAGTGACTCGAAGAAAGTGAACCTGCAGCTGCCGGAGCTCCCAAGTCCACAGGCGGAGGGATTGGCAAAGACAGGGGCCCCGAGGCAGAGACAGGCCAGGTGTGCCTCCCAGGTGGGTCTCCAGGCAGAGGGATTGGCAATGACAGCAGCCCTGAGGCAGAGACAGGCCAGGTGTGCAGAAGGGCAGCGAGGAGGCTGACACAGGGGCGGGGCTGTGAGCCAGGGGCAAGCAGAGGCCAGAGGTCCAGAGCAGCCCCCAGTGCAGGGAGGAAGATGGGGGCAGGACTGCACCTCCCTGACAGCGTAGGTCCTAGCAGAGCGGGTGGCAGAGCAGGCCCTGTCCTGCCTGCCTTGGAGACACAGGGCCTGCAGGAGGTAGACACCAGGCAGATGGGCAGTCGGCACTCAGCACGTGGCCTTGTCACCGCCTTCCCGCGTACTCTGACCCCAAGTCAGAATGGGGAGCCTGGCACACAGGGCACCGTGTGGACATGGTGAGCTGTGGTCACCCTGGAGCCAGGCCCTCGTACCGCACCACGCATGGCACACGCCTTCATCTGCCCTCAGCGCCTCTCGCATACCCTAGGAATTGTCACTCAAATTCCCTTTGCCTGTGGATCCGTGACAGCAATATCTATGGCTGGTCCCCGTCATCTGGCCTTGGGTCCAGCATTCCTCCTCCTCCTCCTCCTCCTCCCTTGGAGCATGCTGAAGCAGCCCTGTCCCCACACAGTGACTGCGGTGCTGTTTCCTTCGCCACCCTTCTGCTGTCTGGAGATCTGGCTGCCTTGTTCACTGTCTGTGCCTTCTTAGATGAGTAAACTGCATGGGAGCTGGGCCCTGGTCTGTGCATTCACCACTATTTATCTCCTGTTCTGGCATGTTCCCTGAATATTTTTAAGTGAAAAGGCACAGAGGCAGGTTGCGAGAAGCAGAGAGTGGGACCCGCAGAGTCTGGCTGGGTGGGTAGCAGCTCTTACCACGTGACAACCTGGGTTGCTCTTCACTTCCCTATGTTTGCCACATGGCTAAGAAAGGAAAAAAAAGGCCACTGGGAAAACAAAGCAGCTCCTGGTGACATTTGCCACAAATCCATGCTGCCCCATGTCCAGGTCTCCCTTTGGTCAGGCTTTCCAGGTGTGGCTTCCCGGCCAGTCCATAATAGAGCAGAGGTAAACGAGCCTGACCATCTCAGGAGAGCAATTAAATGGCCACATCTTCACCAGTGCCAGATAGACTTTCCGGCTCTGCCTGCTCCGGGCAGTGCGAGGTATGCATTGTGTGTAACGAGAGCCATCGCGGGTGAGATGGACTGCCGATTGGGCCACGCCTGTCTCCCCAGCCCAGCACAGACGCCGGGGAGCCCCACGCCTTCTCAGCCTCCAGACCTCCTGGCACCAGAGGGAGACGGGCTGCCCATGCCATTTGTCGGGGTCTGCTGCCAGCTACCTGCTCTGTTTGCAGAAGGAAGGCCAGGCTCTGATTCAGGGAGTCAGATACCTACAGGCCAGGCGCTCACTTGAGGGGACTGGCCAGGGTCCTCCCCATGCCCACACTCTGTGCCCCATCCCAAGCGGGGGGCAGACCACCTAGGTATGGAACCTGCAGAGCAGACACCGCTCAGGCTCCAAGTAAGGTATGCTGCTCACAGGGAGCGCTTCCTTAATGCAGGTCCCCAAGGCCATAGTGTCACATGTCCCTCAGGCAGGCGTGCAAGGGCCTGGCTTCTGGAGCCCCGTTCATATCAGCTGCATGTCCTCAGTCTTCCCAGGGGACTCAGGCTTTAGATGGCCAGTAATCTCACTTCCGCCTGCCAGAGGGAGACCGGACCCTTTGTGCAGTGGGGCAGGCTGTCCCTGGCTGACTCTACAGATGGCCTCTTTATCCAGCACCCTTGTCACTTTTTTTTTTTTTTTTTAAGACTGAGTCTCGCTCTGTTGCCCAGGCTGGAGTGCAGTAGCGCAATCTCGGCTCACTGCAAGCTCCACCTCCCTGGTTCATGCCATTCTCCTACTTCAGCCTCTCGAGTAGCTGGGACTATAGGTGCCCGCCACCACGCCCGGCTAATTTTTTGTATTTTTAATGGAGACGGGGTTTCACCGTGTTAGCCAGGATGATCTTGATCTCCTGACCTCATGATCCACCCACCTCGGCCTCCCAAAGTGCTAGGATTCCAGGCATGAGCCCTTGTCACCTTTTTAAACATCTAGAGCTGCAGGGCCAGTGCACGATGCTCTCACAGCCTTGAGAACCATTGTCAGAAGCCCTCTGAAAGGGGTATCCCCCACCCATCACTCTGAGTGGAGAGCAGAAGCTGGCTTTGCCATTGGGTAAGGGCTGTAGCTCAAATCCTGGCTCTTCTGAACTCACTGTGGGGCTTCCAGTAAGTCACTGGCCTCTTAGACCTTCATTTTCTCATCCGTATAAAGAAGGGGTGGCCAACATCTTCAGGAAACTGAGCCAGAAATAACCCACACAGCCCCGCCAGCCAGCGCTCCCAGTCTGAGACGACAGGCCAGGGCCCTCCGGACTGAAGCTTGATGTGCGAGCCTTATAGCTGCCTTGACTTTTCAGGGACGAAGCTAGTACTGGGCAGGACTGGGAAAAGGGAGGAAAATTCTTCAGGTGCCAGCAGGTGCAGTGGCACAGGTGCCAACGGCACATAGGAAGCTGGGCCCTCTGCCTGTGCCTCTGCCCAGCTTCCTCCCTGCTCTGGTCCTCTAGGTTCCCAGCCTGTACAGGCCCTTTGTGCACATGGGGAGGGGATCCTGGTGGGACACCTCCTTGGCAGGCAGGGTATGGGCTGCCTTCACCCCCACCTGCCCTCAGTGCCTTCATACCCAGCTGCCCCTAGCAGCAGTCTCAGGAGCCACCACCCACTGGGGCTCCCTGTCCCATGCCACTCTCACAGTGTCCCCATGAGCTTGCTCCCACCAGGACCCCCCAGTGGGGCTGTGAGGCTCACAGAGTGAGTGCTTACACTGAGGTGCTCTGCCAGGGGTGGAACTGCTCCGAGCCCTGGGCCCACCCACTCCCACAGATGCAGAGGAGCCTGCTAAGTGGTCTCACCCTGGCCAGTGGCCCACATGGAGGCTGCACCATGCTGCCACCAGGAGATTCCTCATGAATACAAGCCCCACAGCACAGAAAGACAAATGCTGATGATCTCACTTACATGTGGTATCTCAAAACCCAAACTCATAGAAGCAGAGGGTAGAAGGGTGGTTGTGGGAGCCTGGGGGTGCAGGCTGGGGTGGGAATGGGGAGATCTTGGTCAAAGGGTTCACAGTTTCAGTTAGACCAGAGAAATCGATTCAGGAGATCCGCTGTGCAGAATGGTGACTGTAATTAATAACAATGTGTAATATTCAATGAAATTTGCTAAGAGAATAGATTTTAAATGTTCTCATCACCAAAATAAGTATGTGAGGTGATGAATGTGTTAATTAGTCTGATTTAATCATTCCAAAATGTATACATATATTAAAACATCATGTTAGACTGGGCAACATGGCAAAACCCCATCTCCACAAAAAAATGCAAAAAATCAGCTAGGCATGGTGGCACGAGCCTGTGGTCCCCACTACTCAGGAGGCTGAGGTGGGAGGATCACTTGAGCCCAGGAGGCAGAGGTTGTAGTGAGCCAGGATTACACCACTGCACTCCAGCCTAGGCAACAGAGTGAGACCCTGTCACACACACACACACAACACACACACAAATATATATATATACACATATATATACATATATATACATACATATATATATATTACACTATAAATATACACAGTTTGTCATTTGTCAATTTAAAAATGAAAAAGACAAGCTCCAGAGAAAGGGCAGTTGCAGCAGCATGTTTAAGGATGAGTGGGACTTCTATTGCCTAGAATGGGAAGGGTGTTCCAGGCAGAGGGAACAACACGTGACAGGCTTGTATGTGCAATGAGGAGCCCAGGAATGGGCCATGATCAGCAGGGCTGCAGAGACGGTGCACAAAGGCAGAGAGTGGTGAAGATGGAGGTGTTGGAGTGGGTGCGTGTCGGGGCATCAGCAGAAAACAAATTTCCACTCAGGTGTTCAGCTGGAGGGAGTTGAACAAAAGGTCTTTAGTGAGGCGTGGGCTGGTTAAAGCAACTCATAGAGGTAGCTGGAAAGCGGTGGGGGCTGCACCCACCCAAGCCTGGGGGCGGGGCTGCGTATACCCCTGGCAGAGGATCCCGGGATGAGCCACTGACTCTGTGAGCCCCATGGCCCCACTGGGGTGTCCTGATGGGAGCAAGCTCTCAGGGCAGTGGCAAACTGAGCCGAGGGGGCACTGTGAGAATGGCGTGGGGCAGGGAGCCCCAGCGGGTGGTGGTTCCTGGGACTGCTACTGGGGCAGCTGGGTATGCAGCCTGCATATCCCACTGAGGGCAGGTGGGGGTGAAGGCAGCCCAGGTCCTGCCTGCCAAAGGGAGCCAGGGATACACACCCTGACTGCCCTCTCTTCCCACACTCTGGCCTGTTGGGGCTTCCACTGCTAAACCTGGTCGTGCTGTCTGCAGGGGTCAGCCTCCCAGGCACACAAGAGGGTGGAGAAGTGGAGAATGGGTCTCCAGAGGCAATCAGGGAGTACCCCACCCAGGGAGCCTCAGATGCCGAGTTTCCAGACGTGGACTTGGCATGAGTGCACTGGAAAGCAATGGACCACTCGGCACAGAGCAGCAGTCCCTCCAGGGCCTGAGCACGGGGGTGGTGAGCTGAGGCCCCAAGAGGCACAGTGCCCTGCTGTACACCTATCAGATGGGTGCCGGAGGGACCAAAATGTCAGAATGGACCACAGGCCTCAGGGCTGATTGGCTAGGGAGGGAGGCAGAAGAGGGGTGAGTCTAGGCAGCAGGTGCGCGGGCAGGGAGCCCACGGGTGCTTGGGGTACGGCAGAGTGACAGGCTCTCTTCTGTGCCTTGCAGGTGGCCTCAGCCCCGAGTCCAAGAAGATCCTGACACCCGCCCTCAAGAAGCGGGCCCGGGCTGGCCGTGGGGAGGCCACCAGGCAGGAGGAGAGCGCCGAGCGGAGCGAGCCCTCACAGCATGTGGTGCTCAGCCTGACTTTCAAGCGTTATGTCTTCGACACCCACAAGCGCATGGTTCAGTCTCCCTGAGTGTCCGGTGACCTCCCCCAGGGCCTCCTTGCCCAGCCCAGTCCAGGCTGCTGTGCCAAATCCCAACCAGCCACGCCTCAGCCTCTCCCAGTCTCTCCCTGCAGTCCTGCAGCAGCAGCCCCCACCCCCAAGCTTGGTGCTGAGCCCTGGTGAGGAGCTGAGGGGGATGGGTTGCTGGGGCCAGGAGGGTCTCTCCTCCAGCCCCTGCACACTCCCACCCAGGACAGCCCCCAGCCCAACTAGGAAAGGGCCATGGGCAGAGGGCTGGTAGCCAGTATCTTCCACTGCCCCATCTGTTGGCCACCTGCAGGCCAGTCTCAACCCTCCCCCAGGTGGGCAGGCACTTGATGGCTACAAATAAATGTCCCGTGGCCCCAGCCCACTCTACTGGTGTCTCTCTCTCTGTGACTTCACTAGGTCCGCCGCCCTCCCCAGCTGTGTTCCAAGGGGAATCTCAGAAATCCCAAGAGTTCCTGCCCAGGTCGGGGCCAGGGAAGGGACCCAAACTCAGAGTCTGTAGGCTGTGGGAGTCTGCAGAGTGTCTGCGCTTCTCAACCCCACTAGGTGGCTCCTGGGGCGCTCTGGGCCTTCAGGGAGAATGGGGATTCTCTGGGCAGCTGGGTCCAGGGAAGGTACCCACAGGGAAGTTGGGGAATAGCAGGGTGCCTGGCCAGAGCATCAGGCAGAGCAGGTGGAGGCTTGTTCCTCCACCCCAACACGAGGAGTCCCTCAGCCCCTGCCCTCAAGTTTGAGAACCACATACTTCCCAGAAAGTGGAGGCTAGCATGGTGAGGGCACCCTGCAGAGCCATCTGCCATCCCCTGCACCCACAGACCACCCTGCCTTGTAGCCCCAGGCTGTGGGATACTCAGGAAGGGGTGAATGGTGGAGTCAACAGACTGAGGGGAAATCAAAGCTTTTAGAGACATTTGCAGGATGAACAGATGTTCAAACGTTCCTTTATTTGGTCTCCAGACAGACGCAGAGGCCTCCCTTTTATCCCAGTAATCGGTGCATTATGCTTTAATTTGCAAATGGCATTAAAAATATTAACAGGGGCAGGTTTCGATCAAATGACTTGGGCCTGTTAAGCCCCAGAGCCGTGTGTGTGTGTGTGTGTGTGTGTCCCGTGTGCACGTGGTGGGTGGGGAACAGGCAGTTAATTAAATACACCAACAGCAGAGCAAAGCCCCCGAGCTGCAAGGATACCAGCGATGGCGACTGGCCCAGCCACCCTTCGTCAACCTTGGCCCAGACCCAGGCAGCAGGGCTGGAGCAGCAGTCAAGGGCAACAGCTGAGAGCCATGGGGAAGTGGGGTTCCCAGTTCAGTCCCCTGAGGGGATTGGCCCTGGAGGAACGTGAGAGAGAGTGTGGCCCCGGTGAGCGTGGCCTCCGCGGCTGCTGCAGGCTGCGGGTGCCAGGGCGGCTTGTCTGCACTGTGAATCAGGACAGCCCTCTGCCTAGGAGCCGACTCCCCCTCTACTGCCGCTGCCTGAGCAGACACTTCCTGGGACTGCAGTGGCCCCTCTCCCTGGGGCCTGACCCCACTGTGTGCTGTGCCCCGACCCCACTGTGTGCTGTGCCCCACGGCCTCCTCACCCTACCTGGCCCTGCAGACTGTTTCACCAGGAAGGCAGTGCCACTTCACTGAGGCCACTCCGCCCAGGAAACTGGCAGCAGCTTTGAGCCCACACCAGGCTCCCTGCTAGCCTGCTGGTCCCCCAGGGGAGGGCAGCCCAAGAAGGGAGCAGACCTCCAGGAGGGCTTCAGTCAGCACCGAGCTGGGCTCACAGCCCCCAGCCTGTCAGTCCCTGGGGGCAGGAGAGGCCCCTCTGAGCACTTGCCAGTGCTGTCCAGGCTGGTCACCTCCCAGCACAGATCTGGGAGCTGCTGGTGAGGGCCAGCACTGGGTCCGAACCCAGCTCCAAGGACTCACTTCTTAGGCGAGGAAACCTCCCTCCTCCTCAGTGTGGGGCTGAGCTGGGAGCCAGGCCACACCCTCCCTGACCGCTCCCTCCCCAGCCCCCTCAGAGTCCCTGCACATTGGGACAGAAAGCTCTGAGCTCAGCCCCAGGTCCTGGCCTGCATGGGCAGGGTGACCTTGGGTGTGTCACTGTCCCTTTCTAAATGAGGGGTGATGTGACCCAGTGGAACCACTGTGCCAAGCATGGGGTTCCATGGAAGCTGTCCATGGGAGCTTCCATGGGAGCCATGGGAGCTGGCTCTGGGGCCAGATCAGGTGTGGAGGAAAGATGAGCACACAGGGCGAATGTGGCTGCCGCCACCAGGGCACAGATTCAGGCCTCTCCCTGCCTGCGGTGTGAGCTTGGGCAAGTTCCCTAACCTCATGCCTCAGTGTCCCCATGTATAAAATGGAAGAAGAAAAGCAGCCATGCCAGAGGGCTGCCCTGGGGGTGGGAGACTTGCCAGGCACACTGCTGACCCCACATTACCTGCGGCCCTAGGGTGGGCCCCACACATCTCCCACTGAGAGGCAAAAGGCCCAGAACCCCTCAGGAAGTGACACCAGCCCCAAATAAGCCGTTTTTCCAGGAACTCTGTGCAGGCGTCCACCTCCACCCCACCTCTCACCTCCCTACTGGTCTGAAGACCGTGCTCCTCAAAGTCCCGGGAAGGAGGGGGCTCGGGTGGAGGAACTGAGGCACAGAGGCACAGAAGGGAGGAGGGGCAGCCCAGGGCGACTCCCAGGAGCCTCTGAGCGCCCTGAGTGTGTAATGAGGCGGACCTGCTCTGTGTGGCCTGAAAACGCCCAGCCGACTGCCCCAGGAGAGGCCTCTATCAGGCCCGGCATCGGTGGAAACCCGAGCGTCCATTAGTGGGGTCGGGCCAGGGCGCGCAGCCTTTGAAGGTGCAGCCTAGCCGGGACGGTGGGCAGGAGCTGGTGCCAGCACCCGCTTCTGGCTGAGGCCAAGGTGTGGGCATGCACGTCCCCTTCCCTGGCTCCCCCGTCCCCCAGGATGCCTTGGGCAACCCCAGGCCCGCGTGTTTTATGTAGGAGAGGGTTCCAGTGGGCCAAGCTCACTGCAGCCACCGACACAGGTAAACTCACCGAATCTGCTCATCTACCCACAGCAGTGATGTGGCAGCAGCATGCCGGTTTCCCAGGGGTGTGGGCAGGGCAGGGCTTGGCTGCCTGCAGCTGCCCCAGATAGAGCTGGAGTTTGAGTCCAGGCTCCAGGTTCTTCCAGAGTCCCTTGCCCACCAGTGCTTCAGGCGTGTCCTTGGAAAAGAGGTGCCCTCTGGGGTCCTCTGTGGGCTGATGGGTGGGGTGGGGCATGGGGCAGCAGTGCCCTGGGCCCCCTCACCTGCCTGCCCACATGGAGTGAGGTCATGGACCGACATCCTGCCATGGGCTGGGGCAGGAGGGGCAGCGGTGATTGGCAGGCCCCCGACCAGCAGGGCTAATGCACAAACGAAGAGATAAGGCTTATCTGGAAATGTCCCTGGAATCGAGACTCTGATGGAAACAGGCTTCTGGGTTAATATATTTTCAATAGATAACGTCTCGTAAACGGGAAGCCCTGGGGGCCTGGGGCAGGAGAAGGGGCAGCTTCCGTGCTCCCAGGCCTCCTGCCCTGGCCATGCATGTGCATGTGCGCACACGGGCTTTGGTGCACCAGGCATCTCCAAGCCTGTGCTGACGTCTGGGTGTGCATCTGTGCACATGGATCCGCGATGTCTCAGACGTGTCTGCATGTGCTCCGTGTGTGTTTTGGGAGGGTTGCGGTGTTTGTCAGTGTGTGTATCTCTTTGGGTGTGGGAGTGGGGTGAAGGAGGATCGAGTCCAGTGTACACAGGGTGGTGGCAAGTTCCCTAACCTCATGTCTCAGTGTCCCCATGTGTAAAATGTGCCTCAGTTCCAGTGTATCCAGTGCTAGTTTGCCCCATGGGCAAAGGGCATGCAGGTTAGTGGGGCCTCTTCTCCAGGACTGGGTGGGATTCAAGGGAGGCTTATCACTCTATTCTACAGGAAGCATACCAGGGCCAGACCCCTGTCTGGGGAGTGCAGGAGCCTGTCAGTCCGAGCTCACTCTGGAGTTGGTCCCGGCCCTGGCCTCCTCTGCCGAGCAGCCTCCATGTGGGGGTTAGCATCTCCAGATTCCCTTCCAGAGACCAAGGCCAGCCCCGCTGACAGCCTCCCAGCTCCTAGTTCAGCCTTGTCTGTCCTCTGAGGCAGGGACTGGGGAGGCCTCCTGCCAAGGGGCTGCATGGGCAAGGTCTTGAAGGGAGAGTAGGAGTTTGCCAGGGCAAGGAAGGGTGGCACCTGCCAGAGGGAACAGCAGAGTGAAGGCTGTGGCGAGGAAGTGCTCGCTGGGGCCCGTGTGCCTGCTTGCTGAGGAGGGATGAGGTCATAGCTCCAGACCCCCCAGCCCCTGCTGCACCTCCAGGAGCCTCCACACAGGCAGCCCAGATTAAAAAGAGTAATTAGCATTTGACTGATAACGGGGTTGAGCCATTAATTAGCCTGCTCAGCCGGCACCAGGCTTGGCTGCTGGGAGTTGGGGCGGAGGCAGCAGTGGGTGCTGGGAGTGGGGCTCGCAAGGCTCTACAGGGGCTCCATTCCCTTTGCTGAGCACTGGTGATGCTCGGGGAGGTGATGGGGGCGCTATGAACAATGTGGCCGGACCTCGGGCAGCCAGGGAGGCCTAGAAGGCTGTCTGCTGGGTGTGGGAGGCCTTGGAGCCCCACAAGGGCACAGGCAGGGGGATGGGGCATGGTGTCCAGTTGGGGTTTCAAGAGACCCCTCTGGCCTCCTGAAGGAGCCAATGGCAGGGCCTGGAGGTCAGGGCTCCCCCACCCCCAACACAAACAGGGGGCAGAGGCCATATGGGTTGGAGAGGACCTGGGACCAGTGGTTGGTGATTGGATGTGGCAGCCGAGGGGAGGGGACAGTCCGAGCTGAGGCCTGGGAGGAAGAGGACGTTTGGGAAGGCTCGGGGATTGAAAACAGAGAGGTGAAACTTGAGAGGAGAGGTACGTTTGGGAAGAGGCCCCAAGTTGAGTGCTCGAATATTTATGAGGCCTCCTGGGTACAGGCCCTGCCACTGTGCTGGGGCACCAGTGGGGGAGACGGAGACCCTGCCCGCATCCCAGCCTTGTGCTCCCTGGGGCAAGCCCAGTGCAGGGACCTCAGAGGGCACTGGGAGGGACAGCATGGACCCTAGATCACTACCTCCCACCTGGCAGTGTGGCCTGCGGCCCCCTCTGCAAAGGAGGCTGTCGGGCCGGCCCCGAACCCCTGGCCCACCCAGGCCAGCAGGTTGTAGGTCACATGGCCACACCCCTGGAGCCCTGAATGAGGTGTTGCTCAGTCCCCACGTGCTCCCCCCACGTTATCACTGGCCCCCATGAGGGAGACAGTGCAGCAGAGAGAAACGGCCACATCCCACAGCCACAGGTGAGGCCTCTAGGTCAAGGCCTGGCTGGGAGCCCAGGCTGACCTGGCCCTGGGGCACGGTGCCAGGCCTCACCCCCCAAGGTCATTCCATAGACTCGGCCCCGAGCCTCCAGCATCCCACATAGCCACCACCTGGCGGGCCCCAGCATCCGTCTCCCCTGCAAGGCTTGCACAGCCCAACATCACCTGTGGGAGGAGACCCCGTTGGCAGGGCCAGTCCTGTGGAGCCACCTGAAGAGGCACAGAGGCAACGGAGCTGTGGCCAGCACAGTGTGTCCCAGCAAAGGGCCGCCGAGGGGCCGCTGGGCCCAAGGCAGTCTCCAGTCAGCCGCTTGGTCCTCCAGCTCCGACCCGCCTGTCTTCACTGCCATCTGCCATCACTTCCTCTGCCTCTCTCTGGTCCTTGACGGACAACCCTGCCTCCCGCCAACGTCTAGTTCACCTCTTCCCTGTCCATGCCCTGAGGCTTGGGGCCCCAGCCCTAGAGTGATGTCTATCTGGGACCCCCGGGCAACCTACCAAGGTAGAGGCAGGCTGGAGGGTCTGTGGGGTGTGGTTACCTACAAGTGGACCCCGGGGCTCTCTGGAGCTTTCTCCTCCCACTCCCTCCCTCCCAAGCTTCCACCCTGGGCCTGCCCCCATGGCAGCCACTCTCTGCAGGGCCCTCCCTGCTCCCAGCTCTTCAGCTCCTTCTAGGGTACCTGAGGACGCAGGGACCCAGAGGACCTTGAGCTGGGGGTAGAGAAAGGCAAGGGGGGAGCGGAGCCAGGCCTTCCTCAGAGGCCCAGGCAGAGGCCCTGGAAATTCCCCAAGGACTCCAGAGCTGGGGCTCAGACCAGGCTACAGAGGCCAAGTTCCTGACCCTTCCCCATCCCTTCCCGGTTAATTACCAAGAAAGACTCTCCCAAGCCAGTTACCCACACTGTCCCCAGACTGTCATCAGCACCACCACCATCACTAAGCTCACCATCATTCCATCATTTAACGTCACTACTAACGTCAATGCCATCATCACCTCATAGCGTAACTAACTTCACCGCCATCATCATCAGCATCACCAGCGACCTGCTCAGATTGGTTTGGGGAAGACATGTCTGGAGGCCGACAGGGAGGAGCATGACACAGTTTGCCAGGAGGGAGACGCCATGCCCAGGCTCGGGCAAGAGGGAATGGGGTGCGAGTGGGGCCATGGCTGGAGTCAGTAAAGAGGAGGAGGAGGCAGATTTGAAGATGATCCCAAAGCTACATCAGCTGGCCTTGGCACTGACTGGATGATCGAGGGGAGGCCAGACTTAGGGGATCCAGGGTCCCTGGCCAGCCTCTGCCCAGAGTTGCTGGGCACAAGAGATGGGAACCCTGCAGAGGATGGGGTGGGCAAGACACCTTGGCAAGCTTCACTGCAGAATTGCTGAGTCCAAAACTCAGATACCCTTGGGGAATTTGGCTTGGAAAGCCTCTCCCTGGACAGCTGTGTCTTGGGTCTGGGTGGACGCAGAGATGGGTCATTGGCATACAGGCACAGCAAAGGCTATGGGATCCTGAGGCCATGGGGAGGGATAGAGCTAGAGAAGAGACGGGCCCAGGGAGGGCTCTGCGGTGCCAGGGCACAAGAGGACATGCAGGGCCAGGGAAGGTGGGCATTGCTTGAGATGCCCATGGGCCATGGGTGCCAGGCCCAGGGAAGAGGGTGGTGGGGTGGAGCCTCAGGCAGGCTTCCGAAGGAAGTGAGCAGGGCGCTTCTGGGTGGAAGTTGTGTAATGGGTGTGGCATGAGATGAGGCAACCCGCCTCAGATGCAGAGCGATGATAGGGTGGAAGATAGCCAATAGTCAGCAGCGCCTCACTGCCCCAGTGCTCACCGTGGGGGGATCCACTCCCGCACTGGCCAGGCCTCCCCAGGTCTCCCTGCCACCTTGCCCTGCTCTGTCTCCAGGCCTTTGCTGGTGATGCTGCCCTCGCCGCCGGGGCCCATGCTCCACTCAAGCCCGCTTCTCCCTCAACCTCGGGGCTCTCGCACAGATGGCTCTTGATGGGCAGGGTGGGAGGAAGAGAAGCAGGTTCTGGGTCCTGTGCCACCCGAAGGACAGTGCTGCTCCAAGGAAGGTCTCCTGGCCGGCCTCTTATGGATGGGTGGGAAGGAGAGGAGCGGTTTTGGGACCCCTGCTTCCTGGAGTTCCTCACAGAGGGGAAACTGAGGCAGGGGAGGGGTTGGTCCTCTGCCCAGTCCCCCAGCACAGGGAACCTTTGGGGGGAAGTGGCTGCTGCCAGCTGATGCCTGTGGGAAGGACTAGCCCAAGCCTGCCAGGTCCTGGCACAGAGCAGGCGTTGGGGACCAGGGTCTGGGTGCCTGTGTGGACACACTGACCAGGCTGCGGCCCAGCCCTGCCTCCCACCATGGACAGCTGGTTGGGCTGCCGATAAGGAGAGACGGTTGCAGAGTCACCAGGCCCCGATGATAAGACAGACAAGCATCTCCCGGTGGCCGGAAGGTGGGGGAGGGGCCCACCGGAGAAGCACCCACATCTTGGGTGGGAACACAGAGGCTGCTGGTTCTGGGCAGGGCCCACCCTGCCCCTGGGGGCACAACAGCCCTCCCCAAGGCATCTGGGCAGCTGCCGACACAGTGCAGCAGGGCCCCGGCCTGGCCCACCCTGCAGGACCTCCCCACAGCGGCCCTGCCCAGCTCCAACTCCAATCCCACCTCAGCCCCGCCCAGCTCCACACGCAGTCTCCTCAGGGTTCCCTCGCACACCAGGCCCTGTCCCCCTCCGTCTCTGCTCGGCCATGCCCCTGCCTGGAGCACCCCCACACCATGCCCATCTCCCGCCCCTTCTTCCAGGTGCAGCAGCTTGTCCCTGAAAGAATGAACTGCTGGTGAGGAGAGAGGCTTATGGGAAGTTGGGGCTGTGACAGAGTGGGAGTGGGGTGGCAGGGGACACACAGGACAGGTGGGTGTGTCCTTGTGGAAGGGGCCTAGCATGTCATGGGGTTCTTTTGCTGGAGACATTGGGGCTCTCTCTTCTTGCCGGGGTTGCAGAGCTGGACAGCATGAACTTGAAGCCACTGTAGCCATCCTGTCCCCACGAAGGGAATGAGGTCCACAGCACAAAGGGGTGAGGGCCATGCCGAGAAAGGGCAATGGAGAAATGAAGAGATGGGTTCCTGCTGGCCCCATCTGAGCCCTGGATCCAGCTATGCCTGGAGCTCACCCCTGTGTCATGGGAGGCCACACATTCCCTCTGTTGCAGAAGCCTGGTGCCGCGGGTTCCTGCTTTGTGACTCAGAGAGCGATCGTGGTGGGTGCGGTCAGCCATGCCTCTCACTGTCCCAGCAGGGTTCCTGACCAGCAGCAGGTCCTGTTGCTTCACCTTCAAAGCCTGTCCCGAATCAGTCAGCCCCCACCCCATGGCCACCAGCCCAGCCAGACCCAATCACCTCCTGCTTGGACCATCACAATTGCCTCACCCTGGTCTCCTGCTCTGCCGGCTGCAGCCGGAGAATCCTGTTAAAACGTGTCAGGGCCCCTCTTCTCTGTTGTAAACCCTCTCGCCCGCACCTTCCTCAGGGCAATTGCCAGAGTCCTCACCATGACCCCCAGGCCCTGCACGACCTCCCTGACCTCCTCTGCCATCTCCCCACTCCTCCTAGGTCTCCAGCCTCAGGAGAGGGAGCCCCTGCTCCTGGATGTCCCAGGTACTCCCTCCCGCCTCAGGGCCTCTGCACACAGCTCCCGCTGCCCCCAGCTTGCTCCCCACCCATTCTTCATTGAGCAGCCCCATTGCCCCCAGCCCCGCAGTAAAAATCCACATTCCCACCCGCTGTTTCACCCTTCTTTCTAGCTGGGCTCTCCCACTCTCAGCATTCTGCCTGTCGACCTCATTTACTGCCAGTGTTCCCATGGGAAGGGGGCTCTAGGGACAGGGGTTTCTGTCCTTTTGCTCACTGCTGTGTCCCAGTGTCAGGCAGAGCACCCAGCACATGCCTGGCGCTCCACACACAGGAGCACTCGGGCCAGTGGGAATTAAGTGAGTTGTTCCATGCAGGGTCCCCATAAATGGAGCTGGTCTCATTATTGCCGTAACTGTTACTGGCCACACTGTCCTGGCCTGCAGACCACGGTGACCTTCATCAACAGTGACAGGGCATGTGCACTCCGGTTCACATGTGCT
This sequence comes from Homo sapiens, assembly GCF_000001405.40. Lineage (NCBI taxonomy): Eukaryota > Metazoa > Chordata > Mammalia > Primates > Hominidae > Homo > Homo sapiens. Next base: position 128,417,848 of record NC_000003.12, read on the forward strand.
GAGGTGCCATGCTGCACCCCAGGTCCTGTGCCCAGTGCTCCCTGCTGACCTAACAGAGCCAGCACCCCCATTCTCAGCCCCCAGCCAGGACCCGGGGGCCTTCCCAACCTTCCCCAGCCTTGCCAGCCCACCCTATGGCCCCAGGGGCCTTCCCATCTGATTGGGTCACTCCTCCGCTCCCCAAAGGGTGAAATCCAAGCCCTTACCTCGGCATTCTGGACTCTAGGATGTGGCCGGCACCTCCCAAACCCACCACGTGCCCACCACTGGAGTCCCCAGACCAGACTGGGCCTGCGCCTCCCTCTGCCTACGCTGATGCCCTCGTCCAGTCCTGCTCCCTCAGCACCCCCTCCTCACCTGTCTGCACCCGCTCATGACCCAGCTCACGGCCCCTCGGTAAGTGCAGTTTTCACCTCCTGCTCCAAATCTACAGCCCAGATGCAGTGTCTCTGCCAAGGCTCAAATCTGCCTTTCCAGCCTGGCTGTTTCCCCAGGACTCCACGCACCCACCTGTGCCTCCTCTGTGCTCCCAACAGCAGGCGGCTCTGCCCGACTCCTCTCCTGCCCCCACCACCCCATGCCCACACCAGCAAGGCCCAGGCCTTCTTCCAACACATCCCAATCTGACCTTCCCCCATTCTGCTGCACCACCCCAGGCCAGGCTACTCCCTGGGATCACACCTTAGCATCCCCCGTGCCCCACAGACTGTCCACATACAGCCACAGGGAGCCTGTCAGTGATGGCCATTCCCTGCCCCCACTCTGCCCAGCACCCCCTACTCTGCTCACACCCCAACTCTGCCCAGCACCCCCCAACTTTGCCCAGCACCCTTGACTGTGCTCAGCATCCCTGATACTGCCCAGCACCCCTGTGGCCGGGGTGCCCTGACTCTGCCTAGCACCCTGACTATGCCTAGCACCTCTGATTAGCACTGCTACCAGGATTTGGAATGAGGCACATGCAGGCACTGAGTTGGGGTTGGTCACCCCTCAACTTATCAGTTGCTATTCCTCACCCTGTCTCTGGACCTCTGCCTCTGCCCCTGCTCTCTGGGCCCCTCTGTGCCATCCCCTCAAGACTAGGGGACATCACATGTCCCTCCCTGACTCCATCCCAGTCAGTAATGCTCTTCATCCCCATACAAATTAAAGCAACAAGGAAGTGCCATTTTGCATTGGTCAAACTGGTAAAAATTTTTAAAGATTGATAATATCAAGTGTTGGTGAAGAGTGAGGGCAGTGGGAATTTGATGCTATTAGGAGTGGACTTCACACAACAACTCTGGAGGGCCAGCTGCCACGTCTATTAAATTAAAAATGCATGGGCCCCATGAGCACAAGCACTCACTCACATGTGTGCACAAAGAAGTGGGGCACGGCTGCTGGTGGCAGTCCTGCCTGAAACAGGAGAAAAAAAATGGCAATGTTCATCAGTAGTGGTGTGGACACTGAAACAGTGCTGTGTGGCCATAGAGTGAAATACTCAACAATAGGTAAAGGAAGGAAGTCTGAGTGTCCTGTGGATAAATCCTGAAAACAGGTGAAAAAAGTTGCAAAAGGATACGTGCAGAATGATGCTGTTTACATTGAACAGAAACTCCACAAAGTGATACTGTGTGTTCTGTGAATGCAGGCATGGATATTTAACTACATGGAGAAAGGCGTGCAAGGATGTGCTTCAAACTGACCACCAGGAGCTGCCAGCAAGGGGGGTTAGGAAGGGCAGTGGTGGGAAAAGGGCACTCAGCCTTATGTTTTCATTTTGTTCAGAGACTGTATCTGTGCATTATTCACAAACTGGAGGTGAGCGAGGGAAAGGTTCTGTGCAGCCCAGAGGTGTGCAGGAATAAGAGCCACACCGGCACCTCCTTGCTCACAGCCACCCAGCCCTTGTTTCCTGGAGACCAGGTCTCTAGTCAGTTAATGAAAGACTAGCCCTGTGTGGTGAGGCCCCGACACATCTCTGTGGCTGCCCTGGATCCCACCCTCAAAAGCCGTAGCTCTGGGGCCAGAGACAGATTGCAGGAGGAGGCCTGGGGTTCAGACACCCCCATGGGGTTTGTCATGCCTAGGAGTTCACTCCTGAGTCCTGTGATGGCCGCAGCGGGAGGGGGGACAGCCAAGACCCAGAGACAGTGAGAGTAAGGGAGAGCAACAGAAACACAGAGAAAGGCCAGGAGAGACAGAGACAGTGAGAGGCGCAGAGACATGGAGACGGGAAGAAAGAGTGAAAGGGACAGACACAAAGAGAGACAGAGAGAAAAAGAAGTAGAGGGGGAGAAACAAAGAGAAAACAGACAGAGAGTCAGAGAGGCCCCGCGCAGAGCAGGAGAGGGAGGCTGTCACACACGCGCGTGGCTCCGCCTGCTTGGATTGGTCAGAACTGACTGCAATTAAAGCCCATAATTGATTCCCTCGGATGACGAGGATCATTTCAATGCAGAGAATTAAGGTTTTCTTCCAAGATGAAAATAAAGATTAATTTGCAATTTCCTTCCTCACTGCACATGTGAGAACGGTCCCTGCTGGGAGGAAAGCTCAACCCTGGCAGGTGGGCTGGGGGCGCCCTCAGGGCCTGAGCCCACAGCCTCCCAGGAGAGGGCACAGCCTGGACCACCTGCCTCCTTGGCTGGCACAGAGGTGTGGGCGCCCTGCTCAGACACAGGCCTCCACGCCTGGGATCCCTGCAGTTGGATGGGACTGAGAGAGGCCAGGCCCATCAGGCCTCTACCACCTTTGACGAGCCCTCCACGTCCTTCTTTCCTTGCAGGCCTCATCAGCTCCTTTTCCTGGGAAGGACTCCCCAGTTCCCGAAGCAGAGTCTGATATGCAGAGCCCCAGTGAAAGATGACAGGACAGTACCGGAGGGGAGAAGTGGGGGCCCCAATACTTCTCTTCCCTCCCTCCAGGGCCCCCTGCTCCTGCCACCCTGGCTGGGCTCCCTGAGCTGGGAAATACACACTGGAGTCTAGCAGGGTGCTCCCCTCCAGCCCAGGCCCCACTGTGCCCCCTCCTCTGGGGGTACCTCAGGCTTGGAAACATATGCAGGTTCCAGAAGCGGCGGCCCTTGCACCTGTCCGGGACCTGCCATCCGGACCCACCACCTCTCGGGACAAGGAGGCTCTCAGGCCTCACAGAGGCCTTGCCCAGCCTGGGAGCATCATAGGGCTGGCCAGGGCCAGGAGGGACCATGAGCCCACCCCATCCTGGGCCCCAGGAGCCAGCGTGGCAGGCTTTGTCCTGTGGCATTTCTAGCCACCCACCTTGTCCCCGGGGCCTTGTCCCCAGCAAGGTGTGCCAAAGGCCCCTCACCAGCCACCCCTCCAGGCCCACACTCTGTTGAGGCCCTGGCAGGGCAGGGTTACCAGTCTGGGCTCAGAGGCCTGGAGCCTGCACAACCTCTGAGCAAGCTGGACCTGCCCACAGCAGCAGAGGCTCTGCCTCTCCAGCTGGGGCGACCCTGCACTTGCCCTGGTATCCCAGCGTGAACGAGGGGGTCAGGTGTGAACAGGGGGGTCAGGAGGAAGCGGCACCTCCGTCTGCAGTCTCCTCAGATCTTGCCTGTGCAAGCTCAGAGTGGGGCCTTCAAGGGGGGTCCCAAGAACCGGGATTTGGGCTCTGGGCTGTGCACAGTCTCCGGGACCTGACTCTGGGTCTGTCCCTGCACCCCTGCACCTGTGGCCCTCCCAGGTCAGCTGCTGGTGCCACAGCCCCATAGTTGTGAACACCTGGAGCTGCCCATTCAGCCTCTTGTGCCGACTTTTCCCGAAGGTGACCTCTGGACGACCTCCCGGTGCACAGAGGGAGGAGGAAGAGCAGGTTTATGAGCGGGGTGGGGGGGCGCATTCCTCCGGGCAGCCTGGTGGCCTGGGCCTATCTCACCATCGCCACAGGACTGAGGGGCCCCCTGAGCCTCGGCCCACCTCTGGCCTGGCTGACCTGTGGGCACCAGGAAGCCCAGGACCAGGGGACCACATTAGGGTCTCAGCCCCGGTTACCCTGGAGCTGGGCTGGGCCCAGTGGCTGCCATGTGTCTCTAGTGCAGCCTCTGCTCACTCCTCCAGGGACAGAGAGCTCCCTCCGCACTCCCCCGGCCGACTGATAACTCCATTTCAGATGGCACAAGAATTCTCTCATACAGGTGGTTTGTGGAAAAAAACAGCAGCTCTGGGGCAGTCGTGAAGACCAAGTTGCCCAGCACGGTGCTGGGCGCTCAGCCAGAGCCATCTCTGAACCCTCTGGGGGGTCCCAGTTCAGCCTCCAGACCTACAGATCTGCCTGTCCCTATGGCCCTGGGGCAACTGCAGAGCCTGGGCCAGTGCTCTGAGGCTGGCATCTCAGCCCCAACCCTGGCTCCCTAGAACTCTAGCAGTGCCAACAGGGCAGGACTGTCACCTCCAGAAAGCTGGGCGCAGGCCTTGGGTAGCCTGGCATGGGGCGGCTCCTGCATACGTTCAGGAGTGAATGGAGCCTCGGATTCTCTGAAGAGCCCCACTGCTCTGTCAGGGGGATCATGGCTCCCCGGGGTCAGAGGGATGGAGGGCAGTGTTTCTGTCCAGAAAGGCTCGAGGGCAGCTAGAAATGCCACAGGTCCTGGCCTTCTGGGGTATGGTTTCCCACATGGGCCCTTGTACTGGGGGTTGAGGTCCCGAGAGGAAGGCAGGGAAGTGTGCAGGGCCACGCCTCAACACAGGGGCCAGACCCTGAGAAACTCGTTCTCACTCCTCGGGCCTTGAGGCCCCCCGGCTGCTCTCCGTGGCTGGCCCTGGCCCATTAGTTTATTGATCCCCTTGACCAATCATTGGACCAAAGTTTCCTCAACCCTTGCTTGGGCCAGATCCAGGCCAGGGACCAGAGGGAGCTTGAAACATCCCGTCCCCTGACAAGGAGGTGCCCGGGAGGGTGGGAGAGTTGCCACTCAGACCAGAAGCCCAGATGTCCCTGCCTACCCCAGGGACAGCCAGCCCAGGCTGGTCCCAGACAGTCACCAGAGCCTTCCTTCAGGTCCCCCTTGTGTGCCCACCTGACCTGCTGGGAGCACTGGGTAATGAAGAGGTCATGCTGCCCCCACCTGCAGGCTACTAGCCCTCCCAGAGGTCATGTGACCAAGAGGACCTTTCCCAGGCCCACACCAACCATGGCAGCTTTGCTTTTAGCAGCACAAACAGATCTGGGATCCAGTGAGACCTGCAGGAAGGGTCTCACCCTGTCTGTGCCTCAGCGAAATGAAATTAATATTAGGACCACCTTCTCTGGGTAGCAGTCAGAGGGAAACGGGCACACAGCAGGTGCTCATTAAATGCTTCATGGCAGTCACTTGGGAAAACAGCTTGGGTGTTTCTTTAAAAGTTTAACATAAAGTTACTGCCAAAAAATGGAAGCAACCCTGTTTATCAACTGATGAATGGATACACAAAATATCTATCTACCCATGCAATGGAATACTATTTGGCAATAATCTAATAAAAATTAAAAAGGAATGAAGGCCAGGTGCAGTGGCTCATGTCTGAAATCCTAGCACTATGGGAGGCTGAGGTGAAAGGATCGCCTGAGGCCAGGAGCCAGAGGCCCCAGTGAGCTATGATTGCACCACTGCACTCCAGCCTGGGTGACAGAGCAAGACCCTGTCTCAATAAATAAATAAATAAATAAATAAGAGGAATGAAGTACTGCTATGCACTGCAGCATGGATGGACCATGAAGGCATTGTACTAAGTGAAAGAAACCAATCGTGAAAGGCCACATAATGTGTGATTCCATTTATGTGAAATGTCCAGAAGAGGCAAACCTATAGATGCAGAAAGTAGATTTGCCAAGGCCTGGGGGAGCAGGAAGTGGGGAGTGACTGCCAGTGGAGACAGTTTCTTTTCAGGGGACAGGGTGTTCTAAACTTAGATTGTAGTGATGGTTGTACAACTCTGTAAACATACAGAAGTTTGGAATTGTACACTTTAAGTGGGGGAACTTTATAGCATGTAAGTTATAGCTCAATAAAATTGTTTTTTAAAATTGGTCAATGCTCCATGGCCATTCTCTCTGCCCTGCAGCCAATGCCTGGGGGCAACCCTTGCAGCGGGTGGTTCAGCACCAGAGCCTTGGTGGGTAGGGAACAGAGGCCCTTTGCCTGGGGGGGTGATGGGGAGAATGTGACCTGGAGCTGCGGGAGACACAGAAACGACACCCAGAAACACCACACACCCGCACACACACACTATGCATGCACGTGCACACACGCACACTTCCTGGGGGATGAAATGCAGCCATTCCCAAAGACACCTGGCCCCAAGAGTCACCTCTGGCAGGCTGCAGGAAGCACCCACCAGCCTCCTGGCTTCTGCTGCTGGCTGCTCCCTACACCAGCAGGCTGGGTGCCTCCCCAAGCCTCAGTCTGCTCTTCTCCTCAATGGGCAGAAAGTAACCTGCTTCCCAGGGCTGCAGAAGAGGCCAGTGGGGTTCTATGGTGGAATTCACTTTATTGTTGTTTTTAATTATTGTATTACTTATCTGGTTTGGGGGTGTTTTGGGTTTTTGTTTTGTTTTGTTTTGCTTTGTTTTAGGCAGTCTCACTCTGTCACCTAGGTTGGAGTGCAGTGGTGTGATCATGGCTCACTGCAGCCTCGAACTCCTAGGCTCTCATGATCCTCCTGCCTCAGCCTCCTGAGTAGCTAAGACTACACAGGCATGCACCATCATACTGCCTATTTTTTTTTCTTTATTGGTAGAGACATGGTCTCACTATGTTCCCCAGGCTGCTTGTGAACTCCTGTCCTCAAGTGATCTTCCTGCCTTGGCCTCTCAAAGTGCTGGGATTACAGGAATGAGTCACGGCACCCAGCCATTTATCATTTTTATTAAGGAAATAGTTCAAACATACGAAAAGTGCGCGGAGTATAATACAGTGAACCCCATGTGTCCATACCCACCACAACAAACTACTGACGCACGCAACAAAGTGAATGGAAGTAACAACCTCCGGGACCGTGTCTCCCGCCCCACCCCAATCTCCTCCCCCACTCCTCTCATCTTCTGTGGGCCAGTTCTAAAGCTCGTTCAGTCTAAGGTGGAGACTGCGGCGGAAGTGGTCTTTCTCAGGGAGGCAGTGGCGGGGTGGTCAGGGCCTCTCACCAAGCAGGTAGGACTGGTCAACTCCATGATTCTGAGAGTCTGCGACTCTGTGACTGGTTTTTAAAATTGTTGTTTGTCACATACAGTAAAAATCACCCCTTTAAACATGTAGCTCTGTGCGTTTTGAAAAACACATTCAGTTGTGTAACCCCTACCTGAGTCAAAAGAGAGAACAGGTGCACCCCCATGCTTCATGCCCCTGTGAAAGCACCCCTCGCACACCCGGCCCCAGCATTCACTCATCTCTTTTCCATCACTGTTGTTTTACACTTTCTAGAATGTCACATGAGTGGGATCACACTGTGTGTGGACTTTCCAGCAAGGCTTCCTGGCCTTGGGATTCATGCTTGTGGCTGCACGTCCCAGCAGCTCCTTGGGTCACTGAGCAGGGCCCCGAGGTGTGGCTGTGGACGAGCGGATGGATTCACCTGCGGAAGGACACTCGGGCTGCTTCCAGTTTGGGGTGACTGTGACTAAAGCTGCTCCGAACACTCTTGTGGGGTTTTGTGTGAGCATCGGTGCTTCTCTCCCATAAGTAAACACCTCACCGTGGAAGGTCTGTGTTGTGTGGCGTGTGTTTTACTGCCACGCGGTTTCCCACCCCAGCTGCTGTCTGCATTCCCGCCTGACTGGGCATTTTACCTTTCACTCAACACATTCCCATCGGGCACCCACCCAGGCCAGGCGCGGTGCTCCCAGTGACGGAAATGGCCAGGATGAACGAGCTCTGCCCTCCTGGGCCCTCCTGGGCCCTCCTGTCCTGTGGGCAGCAGGCAAGAAACCAGGCAGCCTGGGGACACGCGGGACCATCTGGCTGTTGGCAAGGGCTCCAAGGGCATGAATTAGGGCAATGCTAACAGGGTGACTGGGGCGGGCCTTGCTGAGGTGAGTTTGAACCGAGATTAAGGCAGAGGGGCCATCCCATCCAAGATCCGGGGGAAGGGTTTCCAGGCGGGGGCCCAGCAGGTGCCAAGGCCCCGAGGTAGGTGAATCGTGTTATTATGCTGTGACTCAGCGACTTTTTGGATGAATGCTGAGTTCCAGGGACCTGCTAGAAACCTTACAGTCATCCCCTGTTCAATCCTCACAGCAGTCCTACGCAGGAGGGGCTACTGTCGCCCCCAGCTTACAGCAGAGCCACTCAGGTTCAGAGAGGTTGTCACCTGTCTCGCTGCACAGGCCACGCGGGGCAGAGCCAGCACTTGAACCCGGCGGGACTCATGGAAGTGCGCTGAACACCTGGATTCCCACCTCAGCTCGAATCCCTGCCTGCAGTCCTGCTGTGTGGCCCTGGGCAGGTCACAGGTCCTCTCTGAGCTTCCGCTTTCCCGTCTGTAAAACCGGGCTGGCGCTGCTGGCCTCGCAGCCCGCCGTAAGCATCCTGTGGGATGAGGTGTGAAAATGTCCTGGAACGGTGGGGCCCTTGCACGGTGGGGTGGGCACGCACCCATTCCGCCCCGAAGGGCCGTAGCCAGCCAGGCCCCCTCCTCGGCCCGCCGCGGGACTGCGCTGCCGCCAGGCGCCGACAGAGGGCAGGAGCGGCCCGCGCCCAGCGGCCGAGAGCGCACGGCAGGGCTGGCAGGGGCGGCCCCGGCGAGGCGCAGCGCGGGCGGGAGCCCGAATGTGGTCTCAGGACTGCGGCAAACACCTGTCGGACTGTCTGGGACGCACGACCTAGGGACACGGACCCAGTGCACGGTGTGGGGGAGGAGGTTAGCGAGGGATCCTGGGCCCACCCGTCTCCGGGCTACCCCACCCCTACCCCGCCAGTCCCCGCCATCCAGCGAGGTGCCCCGGGAGTCTCTCCGGGAGAGCGCTGGCCCCGGGTCTGCGAAGAGCCGGCCTGGGGGGCAGGGCCTTAGGCTCAAAGGCCGCCACGTCCCCACGTGGCTCTGAGCACCGGTGATGTGGCCGTCCAAGATGAGATATACCCAGGGCCCAGTACACCCCAGCTTCCAAAGGCCTTCTGTGACAAAGAGAGACTAAACAATCACACTTATCACCTTTTGTATTGAGCTGAAATAGTAATATTTTGGATCTACTGGGTTAAATAAAATATGAAAATTAATTTCATTTTTTCTTTTTAAAATTGTGGCTAAGATATAAAATTAGGTAGATGGCTCTCACCTGCCGCTTGTGTTCTGTCTCTACAGGACAGGCCTAAGTTGGATGTCTGTGTTATCCCATGTAATCCCGTCCAACTCTCCCAGTGAGGCGTTTACTGTTATTACCTATCCCATTCTACAAACGGGGAAGCTGAGGCGCTGAGCAGTGATGTGACTTGCTCAGGGTGGGTTATGGGCACACACCCAGCAGTGCCCACCCCATGCCCATGTGTACCACACACAAATATTCATAACACATGCAGGGGCCCAGACTGTCAGTGCCAGAGTCCACGGGTAAGATGGAGAGACCCTGAACACAAACACGCTGCCAGCCTCCCAGCTCATACACAAGCGTCACCTGTGCACACCCAGTCTTGTGACAGCGTCAGGAGCACACACATCCACACTGCTGTTCCCAGACCCCCTGCTCACGCCCATGCACACACACCTACAGGTGTGCTGGTCTTCGAGGCAGGCAGTGTGGCCAGCCTCCCTCATGGCCCACAGTGCCATCCAGAAGACTGTATGGGGCCCTGCTGCTGACTGGCTGGTGGGCTCGAGACCCGCCAGACAGTCAGGCCCCTACTCACCTAGGGCTTGGAAAGGGGGCCCTGGCTGAGACTCCATCTGTGTCTGGGGGAGCCAGACCCGAGGGGAGTGAGTGGGCCTACGCGGAGCTCCTGCCCTCCCTGCGCCTGCCTGCCACCCTTCTGTTGAGGGCCCTTCCTCCTGGCTGCAGCCATTTGCATAAAGCTCCCAAGCCCAAGGATCACATTACATGGAGGCCTGATGATAATCTTTGTTGAAATAATATTTAACACATGCTGCACTTTTAATTAACTATCTGAATAATCTCAAATTAATACCAGAGCTTTAAAAATAAGTTTTCATTTTCGCGTTTGGTAACATAATAGCGGCCCGGCTGGCCCGTTTCCCCCTTCTTTGATTTAATTAAAAGCCCTTTTGTGTGTCTCTTGTCACTTCAGAAATGGACAAAAGCCCCCATGTGGGCCAGCCAGGGCTCCTGCTCGGGGTCCAGGTCTGAGGCCAGGGCCAGGGTCAGGGGTACTTAGGGGCCCTGAGGGCAGGTCCTCCACTGAAGCTCCCAGCCTGGCTCTGGCAGTGCCACTGAGGGAGGCCACACATCACACACACTTTTGCCCAGGGACACTGGGGCACGGTCACAGAGGCCAGCAGGCTGCCTCCCATGCATACAGACACACGCTAGAGGCAGGTGGCAATCTCCGTCCCTCGTCCATAACACACACCGGCCAGGCTCTGCAAACATGCCCACCAGACCCATGAGCCTCACGTACCTTCACGCATGCATGTGCACACACACAAAGTCACAGTCACATATACACCATTTGGGAATTGACAACCAGAGCCATTCTGGGCTTGGCATTAACAATTGGCATTCTAAGTCCAGATCCAAGAAACCTGGGGAGCTGCCTGGCCCCGGTGCATGACCCCTGCCCCAGAGTGTGTGATGTGTGTGTCTGTTGCTTCTCTCTCTCCCTGTCCTAACCTGTTGGTTCTGTCTCTGCACCTCTGTCGCAGGCTCAGGACCCCGAGGCCCGCCAGGTGGGCAGCCTCCTGGGGCTGGGTGTGTTTCCCCACTAAGTCTGCTTTCACTCGCAGGTTTCCTCCTGGACCTGAGGAGCAGGCAGGGGTCCTGGGGGCTTCTGCCTTGCCCCTGCCCTGGCAAGCCAAGCCCTCTTCTGAACCCGAGATAGACCAAGGGAAGCTTCCCCAGGCAAGCAGCCCCAGCCAGTCCAGCAGGGAAACTGAGTCCCTACGGAGGCTTAGTTTTCTCCAACAGGTCCAGGTTGCCAGGTGTCTCTCCACTTGGGGGGCCTGAGGCCTTGGGGAACTGTGTGGGAGGGGGTACAAGCCAGACCCACCACAGAGCCTGGAGTCTTGGCAGGGAAAAGTGGAGGTCCCTGGGAGGGTCTGTGCTTCCCGCTGAGGTCCTTGGAAAGCTGGGGGAGGGAGCTGTCGATTCCCCCAGCGACAGGGGCCAGCAGTGAGGCCGACCTGGCCAGGGGTGGAAGCAGCCACCACCTCCAGCTGACTCGTTCCATCGACAAACCCCAGGGAACTGGGTCTGTGCTGGATGAACATATTGGGCCCTGTGTCCTCGTGATATGGGTGGTGAAGGGGTCCCTGCCCTCATCTCACAGCCAGATGGGTGCAGAACATAGTGCTACTGGGAGGAGGCTGGGCAGACAGTGAGGGCACGCGGTGGAGGCAGGGTGAGCGGGGAGGCCACACGCAGGACGCTGTATCTGACACATCGTCAGAAGAGGGGCTCCCAGGGCTGCAATAAGCAAGGCAGCCTCCTGCCCCCATCCCGGGCCCTGGGACCCAGAGCATGACCAGCAGAGCAGGTCCTGAGAACAGATGGCCCGGGGTGCAGTGGCCTCCCGAAACCCTGTCAACCGGCCCCTTCTGGCTCAGACTGCCCAGCCAGCCCGGGTCAGCTGGGGCCCAGTGCACTCCCCACCTGAGGGCTGCCTGAAGAGCCAGGCGAGCGTGTTCCCACCCAGCCCACCCAGCTGCCGAGGACTGGCTGGACCACTCGGGTACCTGGCCCTGACCTCGTCCAGTGTCTCACCCACAACCACACCATCACCATCACACACCGGGACACAGAGTTACGGACAAGCCGTGACACAGAGCCAATGCCCGGGCAGCAGCCATCCCCAACCACAGGCTCACACAACACACGTGATCCTATGTGTGGGCACTCACACACAGTCACAAGTAGCCACATGCACACACACAATCCACATGGTCACACCCTCACCCAAGACCATACACATGAGTGTGCACACAGGGCCGCCACCAGCCGGCTGGTACAGACCCCAGGCCCTTGGCTGCTGGTGCCCCTGTGCAGGAGTGATGTCATGGGGAGGCCTTCCACCTGGGCAGCCAGAGGGGAGGCCAGACCGTGTCCTGTGTGCTGAGTGCCCGCTGGGCACTGGCGCTGGGGGTGTGCACAGGAGCTCTCACAGTAAGTCTCAAGCAGGGGCAGTGTTCCCGCTGTATAGAAGGGGAAACTGGCTCAGAGAGGTGAGATAAATTGATCAAGTCACACAGCAAGAAACAGAAGGAGCTGGGCCTGGAATCAGCCTGCACACTGCCAGTTCACACAGCTATCTCCTTCTGAAACCTGGGGGACGTTCTGGGCAAGTAGGGGGCAGGGCTGCCCCTGCAACACCAGGAAGGTGACCCTCATGTGGCCCAGCTCAGCTGACCCGGAAGACTCAGAGCCCCAGATCTGCAGCGAGAGCTGGGCACTGGAGTGGGGGATAGGGTTGCCCATGCCTCTCAAGGTTGTCACAGAGCCTGAGGCCCTGGCTGGGAACACAGAAGCCACCACAGCTTGAATCCCCGGCAAGAGATCTGTGTGTGACCCAGCCCCAGCTCGCACAGAAGCCTGCTGTGCACAGAGGACAGTGCTCCAGGCATGGGAAGTGCTCACAACAGCGGCTGCCACCCGCAAGTTCTTCATTCATTCATCGGCTCATTCATTCCGTCAATCAACAAGCCTGCAGCCTGGTGTGGGCACAGGTGCTGCCCTGGACGGGAGCAATGGGCTGAACTGGCTCCTGCCGACTGGAGCTGCCATCCTCCTTAGGGAGACAGACAGTGTGCAGGCACCAAATACACTCGTAAAGTGACTTCAGATCATGATCCTTAGCCAAAGTGGGCACGGAGGGCTTCCGGAGGGGCTAAGCCTTGAGTGACAAGAAGGGGACAGCCAGGCCAAGAACTGTGGAAAGAGGATTCCAGGCGGAGGGAACAGCAAGAGCAGAGGCACAGAATGCTCACGCTCACGGGAGGGAGGCCTGGGGCAGGGGCAGGAGCAGTGGGGTGGAGACTGGGCATGAAGGCAGTCCATGCCAGTCCTGAGGAGCAGTGCCACTCAGCCCCTGCCAGTGGCTGCCTTGTGGGATTGGGGACACGGTGTGGCCAGAGGTTCCGATTTTGCAAGGAAAGCTGGAGGTCTGGAATTTTGCATAAAGCATCCTGATTTTTTTGTTTTGTTGTGTTTTAGAAATGAAGTCTCAATCTGTTGCCCAGGCTGGAGTACAGTGGTGCAATCTTAGCTCAGTGCAGCCTCAAACTCCTGGGCCCAAGTGATCCTCCTGCCTCAGCCTCCCAAATAGCTGAGATTACAGACATGTACCATCATGCCAGTCTTATATTTATTTCTTGTAGAGGTGGGGGTGGGGGACGTCTCATTATGTTGCCCAGGTTTCAAACTCCTGGCTTCAAGCAATCCTCCTGCCTCAGCCTCTCAAAGTGCTGGGATTGCAGGCGTAAGCCACCATGCCTGGCCTCCTGATTTTTAAATGGCCACAGTTTATTCAATTTTTTCTGAAACTGTTCGAGCCACACAAAACCTTTCTGAGAGCCAAAAACAGTGTGTGGGCCACTAGTTTGAGACCTTACTGGGAAGTGAGGTCCTGGATTCAAATCCGGCCTCCCACACTTTCTAGCCATGAGACCCAGGCAAGTGACTTACTCTCTGTGCCTCAGCACTGTCATCTGTAGAATGGGGAGGAGGGTGTCTACCTTACAGAGGGCCTACCTTACAGGGTGCTGTGGAGGCGTAAAGGATTTAATTTACTCATTTATCCAGCACATATTTACTGAGCATCTACTGTGTTCCAGGGACCATGCTAGGTTTGGGGGTCACAACAGCCAACAGGAGACAGTCTCTGCCCTGGTGCATCTTACAGTCAATGGGAAAGACAAAAAACAAAATGAGCAACGGGAATGAGTACCACGTGCAGAAATGCCAATAGGAAGAAGTGCCGAGGAGAAAAACTAGGGCAGACAGCAAGGCAAAAGGAGTTGAAGAAGGCATGCTGACATTTTAAACCAAGGAGGGCCTCACTGAGGAGGCGGCATTTCAGTAAAGGCCTGAAGGAAGCGCGGGAGTGAGGCACACAGATGTCCCGTGAAGTGTGTTCCAAGCAGAGGTAGCGGCCATGCAGAGGCCGGAGGCCTGGCCGCCCAAGGAGAAACCAAGGAGACTGGGGAGGCTGAGTGGAAAGACAGGCCAGAGATGGGGGAGGTGGCAGTCGTGAGATCAGGTGGTCCTGGAGCCCACTGCGGGGTGAGCTTTTCCTGTGAGTGAGGTGGGAGCCAAGGGAGAGTGTGGAGCAGAGGAGGGAGGATCTCTGACTTGGCTTTAACAGACCCTCCGGCTGCTGCAGGAGAATGGGCTGCAGCGGGATAGAGCCGCGTACAGGAGGGAGGGTGCTCACTGGTCCAGGTGAGCACGATGGCGGCGGGACCAGCGGCCGGAACTGGGAGGGGGAGACGCCTCTGGGGAGACGTCCAAGGTGGAGCCAGCGGAGAGAGAGGCGTGGAGGCCGGTGCCTGCGGGTTTGGCCTGGGCAGCGGGAGTGTGGAGGGACTGTTTCCTGGAGCGGGAAAGGCGAAGGGGCTGGTTGCGGTGAATGTGGGGCTGGGAAGGCCAGCTGGCTCCCTGGACATGCGGGAAAGTGAAGAGAGAGGCTCCCAGGAGAGGGTGGTCCGGGGACATGGCGTTGGGCACCCCTGCTGGCACTGGAGGAGGCACCAGGGAGAAAGTGTTGTTGGAGCTGAGGACAAATCAAGCAGCCCGCCCGGACGGTGGCCGCATTTGCTGAACATTTGGAATTCCAGGAAAGGGCCGGGGGCCTGGAGGAGGACCCAGGTGATCCCCAGGCCAGGTTTCGGGGACTGCGGCCCCCCGAGGGGGTCTCAGCTTCTGGGCGCTGGGGTTGGGCAGCCGGGAGGCCGCCCCTCCCCCATCGCCCTCTCCCGGAGCGTCCGCCCCCTCCCCCGCGCCACCTGCGGGGTCGGTCAGATCCGGGCCTTTGTCCCGCGCCCCAGCCCCGCCGCCCCGCCTGGCTCCCCCCCGAGCAAACACAGCTGAGCGCCCGGGCTCGCGTGCCGCCCCCGCCCCCCAAATCTCCGGGCCGCGGGGTGGAGGCTTAGCAGGGCAGCTGCGGGCCTGCGGGCGGGCGGAGCTCGGGGCGCCCCTCTCCCGCTCGCACCGCCGGGGCGCGCCTTTGTCATGCAGATGGCCCGCTGGCGGCCGGCCTCGCCCGGCGGCGCTCGGGCAGCTGACCTGGGGGGTGGGGGACAACTCCGCTCCCACATCATGCCGAGGCTCCCGTGAAGACCGCGTCGTCCTTGCCCTGGGACCCGCTCCTCCCTCCCCCCGGCGCCAGGTGACCCACTCCAGTCGCTGGGCGTCCCTGGCCTGTGTTCTTGCTCGCACTCCCTGCAAAGGAACCTGCTGTCCACACACCTGGAGCCCTGGAGCAGGGGCTGGGATTTGCCGCTGCCAAGGGTGTGGGGCACATGTGGGGGGCAGCCCCATCCCTCCCAACTGGTCCTAGGCCAGCCAGACCTCTGTACCCACTGTGGGTGGCTGGGACCCAATCGCTGCCCATTCCTGCCTCAGTCTTCCCATCTGTACTATGAGCGCTGCTCCAGGGCAGAGAGGACTGGTGGGCTTAGGAGGAGGCAGGAGCCAGGTTTGTCCCACCGGCCTTGCAGCCACCTGGTGTGGTGGCCTTGGGATGATACGTCTGGCCTCACATGCAGCGATGTGGCCTGGGGATGTGGATGCCCGCAGCTCAGGGCCCTCGTGGGCAATGACACTCATGCTTAGGATGCCAGGATCCCCACCCTCCCAGACCTACCCCTCTCCCACCCATCCTGACCCAACCCTAAGGTCCTGTCTCCTCCTAGGTAACTGGGGTGGGGCTTGACTGGGGCACACGCCCACTTTCTCCAGAGCAAAAGATTCTCCAAAACAGGGGTGACCAAATGGAAAGTTATTTACTGCCTAGTGTCAGGAGTCAGGCCTGGGGCAAGACCTGGGAGGAGAAACATTCCTGCAGCTGGAATCAGGCCGGAGGAGCTGGTGTCCCCTGCCAGGGTCAGCTGCTAGTATCATCCCAGGAGCACCCTCTCTCTTTATTTTGCAGGTGAGTAGCCTGAGGCCAGAGAGCAGTAGGAACCTGTGGCCTCCCAACCCTTGTCTTCTCCTGCAAAGAACAGAGGATTGGGATTCACGCCAGAAGGTACAGAAATGGCCAACACAGACGAGATGCCTCAAGTCTAGGTTATGCGCATGGAATCACATGGTATCATTCCTCATTTCTGGAGTAAAAGGCAAGAATACTGACAACAAGCAGTGCCGGGCAGCTGTGGGACAGGTGGAGCCCCCATGGACCCTGCTTCTGGCGTGCAGTTTGTCAATATGACACTCAAAATTCTGCGGAAGCTTTGATCCAGTGACTTACCTCGAATAATTTATCTTCATTTTTTAAAATTTATTTATTTATTGAGACAGGGTCTCGCTCTGCCACCCAGGCTGGAGTGCAGTAGCACGATCGCAGCTCACTGCAGCCTTGACCTCCGGACTCAAGCAATCCTCCTGCCTCAGCATCCCTCAAATAGTGCAACCACAGGTGTGCACCAACACACCCAGCTACTTTTTAAATTTTTTTGGAAAGATGGGGTCTCACTATGTTGCCCAGGCTGAATTTATCTTTAAAGGGCACGAATAAGATGAGTGGACAAAGAAGACCCAGTTATGTCATGGGGAAACCTGGAAGCCACCCCAAGAGCACAGCTTTGCAAGTGGATGAGAGTTCCAATCTCAGCCCAGCTGTGTGATTCTGGGCAACTGTCCTAACCTCTCTGAACTTCAGTTTCCTCATCTGTAAGGTGGGAATAATGGCAATACCCAACCCCTCCAGGGCCGTCTGAGGAAGACATAAGACTACATGGGTAGAATGCTTACCTTTAGGCACACAAGAGACAATTTATATAAAGGAAAAAGTTGGTGGTCCCATATGATGGATTATTAAACAGCTTTACAAATAAAGAAGAGCCTCTCTGGGCCTCAGTTTCCCTCTTGAACAAAGAAAAATTGGTCCTGGGAGCTCACTGCGTGGCTCCTCGACTCTCTGCAGCGATCCCTCCCTTCCTGGCCCTGGCTGTGACTCCCTGGCAGCTGAGCAACTGGGTAGGAGAGGGACATGGCTCAGTCTGTCTGTTGGGCCATGCGTCATTCTCAGCTTAGACCCAGCCTTGCCTGTCACAGGAGAGGGCGGGGGAGGGGAGGAGAGCCCAGAGGCCCAACTCCTCTACCCCTGGGCCCTGCCCCTCTGGCTCAGCCAGCAGGAAAGGCCAGTGGAAGGTGGGGGGCTTGTCTCACTGCCCTCTCCCCCAGGGAGGGGCATTTGTGGCCAGATCCAGTTTCTGGCAGGACTGGTTAGTCCAGGTGGCCTGGATGGATGGCCGAGATAAGGTCTGTGCAGATTGGCCAGGCTGGGCAGGAGACCCAAGCGGGACAAAGACAGGATAGCCCTGGCCCAGCCTGATTCACAGGTGGGGTTAGGAGCTGCCCCTGTCTTGTCCCAGCCTCTGTCACCAGATTTTGGGGGCCAGGCACCCAGGTATCCTCTAGGAACCTCCCGTCACTGCCTGCGGTGAGGTGGCACAGAAAGAGGTGATCCTGGGGAGAGGTGTTACAGGTCCAAGGTGGCCCAGCACTTGAGGGGGTGCTGCAAGGAAGAGTTTTTACCAGCCCCTGATGAGGCTCTAAAGCCCAGAGACAGCATGACCTGGGGCTGCCTGGGTGTGAGGTTGTTGAGGATTCTGGGTTGCAGGTAGGCACCGTCTTGGTTTCTCTGTCTCTGTCTGACATTCCAGACGCTCCCAGGGCCTGGCTGGGCCAGCTTCCCTCATGGGCTTGGTTCTCACAGACCCAGTCACAAAAACCATGCTGCCAGCACTTAGTACAGCCTCAGGCCTATACCACCTCCGTCCCTCATCAGTGGGGTGCCCTCTGCCTGGTGGTTCCTGCCAGCCTCAGGCCAGGGGTTCAGAGAGCAAGTCTCTCTCATAGGTGCTATAGCCCCAGGGACCCAGGGCAGAGCACAACTCAGCCTCCCAGGCTGCCAGCAATTCACTTACTATACTGAACATTCTGTTTCCTCCTCCACGACCACAGCCATCCCTCTCCATGCCCTGTGTGCTCTGCTGCCACGGTCCCCTTGCCCTTGCCTCTGGTCTGGTTCACCAATGGGGACACCAGCTGAAGACTGGAAGGGTGGAAGGAGAGAGTGGCCAGAACTACTCATCCAGCATCTCCTGGGTTGAGGCTGGCCATGTCCTGACTAAGAGCCACAGTCCCCACTGTGGTGGGAGGGTGGCCCTCTCCTGGGCTGCAGCTTGGGAGAGCTCCAGTAACAGCCCTGCTCCCACTCCCTAGAGGCAGGAATGGTGGCTTCCTGCTCTCTGTACTGTCACCATCCCTTAAGCAGCATCTGTAAGTGGCCAGCTCATTAAGCCCTTTCCCCTAGTTTGCAGACTACGTCTCCTGCCAGGATCGGATCAGTAAACCTCAGGACTCTCACAGCCCTACAGGGCAGCTGGAGCCATCCCATTTACAGATGAAGAAACTGACTCAGAATCAAAAACAACAAATCCGGAGCCATCACATTACTCAACTTCAAACTATACTATAAGGTCATAGTCACCAAAGCAGCATGGTACTGGTATAAAAATAGTCACATAGACCAATGGAACAGAATAGAGAACCCAGAAATAAAGCCAAATACTTACAGCCAACTGATCTTTGACAAAACAAACAAAAACATAAAGTGGAGAAAGGAAACCCTATTCAATAAATGGTGCTGGGATAATTGGCAAGCCACATGTAGAATGAAACTGGATCCTCATCTCTCACCTTATACAAAAATCAACTCAAGATGGCTCAAATACTTAAATCTAAGACCTGAAACCATAAAGATTCCAGAAGATAACATCGGAAAAACCCTTCTAGACATTGGCTTAGGCAAAGCCTTCATGACCAAGAACCCAAAAGCAAATGCAACAAAAACAAAGATAAATAGATGGGACCTAATTAAACTGAAAAGCTTCTGCACAGCAAAAGAAATAATCAGGCTGGGCGCAGTGGCTCACGCCTGTAATCCCAACATTTTGGGAGGCTGAGGTGGGCGGATCACGAGGTCAGGCGATCGAGACCATCCTGGCTAACATGGTGAAACCCTGTCTCTACTGAAAAATACAACAAAAATTAGACAGGCGTGGTGGTGTGCACCTGTAGTCCCAGCTACTCAGGAGGCTGGGGCAGGAGAATGGCATGAACCCAGGAGGCAGAGCTTGTAGTGAGCCTAGATCGCGCCACTGCACTCCAGCCTGGGCGACAGAGCGAGACTCCGTCTCAAAAAAACAAAAAAGAAATAATCAGCAGAGTCTGTTAAGACAACTATAAAGTAGGAGAAAATCTTTACAATCTGTATCTCTGACAAAGGACTAACATCCATAATCTACAAAGAACTCAAACAAATCAGCAAGAAAAAACAAACAATCCCATCAAAAACTGGGCTAAGGACATGAATGGAACTAAAAGTAAATCTACCATTTGATCCAGCAATCCCACTCCTAGGTATCTACACAGAGGAAAAGAAGTCATTATACAAAAAATATACGTGCACACACATGTTTATAACAGCACAATTTGTAATTGCAAAAATATGGAACCAATCTAAATGCCCATCAATCAACAAGTGGATAAAGAAAATGTGGTGTATATATACCATGGACTACTACTCAGCCATAAAAAGTAACAAAATAATGACATTCGCAGCAACCTGGGTGGAATTGGAGACCATTATTCTAAGTGAAGCAACTCAGCAATGGAAAACCAAACATCGTATGTTCTCACTCATGTGTGGGTGCTAAGCTATGAGGACGCAAAGGCATAAGAATGATCCATTCATTGGACTTTGGTGACTCAGGGGAAAGGGTGGGTGGTGAGGGATAAAAGATTACACTTTGGGTACAGTGTACACCACTCAGGTGATAGGCGCACCAAAATCCCAAAATCTCAGAAATCACTGCTAAAGAACTTGTTAATGTAACCACTTGTTCCCCCAAACCCTATTGAAATAAAACAAGCACCACTTGTTCCCCCAAAAACTTATTGAAATAAAAAAATTTAAAAATAAAACAAAAAAAGAAAAAGAAAAGAAAAGAAAGGAACTGAAGCTCACAGAGAACTCGCTTCCCCACGGGGCCTTCCTTTATGGGACCCAAGAGCTGAACCACAAATGACCTCCCCCAAAAGCCTGGCATTTGGGCCACCATGGGGCCTGCTGCAGGCCTCTGGCCCAGCCCTGGGCCCAGCTCAGAGTTCAGGTGCCCCCTCAGTGCCCAGGGGCATCCAGGTTCCCCCAGCTGCAGCCCAGCCTGACCCCAGTGCTGACTTCCATGCAAGGAAAGGCAGCCCATTCTCTGTCATCTGCAGGGAGACACCCCCTGCCAGGGGACAGGCTCCAGGCCCCATCCCAGGAGCCAGCTTATCCTCTCTGCTGCCATCCTTCCCATCCTGTGAACTGCTCCTTGTCATTTCCATTCTTCAGGTGGGGAAACTGAGGCACAGATCAGAGCTCGGGAGCAGTGGTTCTGGACTGAAACTTGGGCCCTTCCTAACTGGATCTGCTGTTCCACCCTGAAGAAAGCCCCTCAGCCTCAGGACCCATGGAAGTATTGGGGAAGGTGTGGTAGGGAGTCTAGAGCCCCCTAGAGGCTAAGAGGATTGCAGCCGTGTGCCTGGAGCACTGCAGGCGGTTGGGGAGCAGGTGTCTCCACATCTGGGCTCTGGCCTCCAGAATGGGCATGAGGCCTCTGTGGGGCAGGAGGAGACCGGAGGCTTGCCCTTGGCCCTGCCTCCTCACTTCAGCCTCAGGTCACACCTCCAGCAGGGGCAGCGGCAGGTGGGTGCCTCCAATCCACATAGGGGCTCTCGCTCCCCTGCCCCAGGGCTGCTCCAATATTTGGGCCAGGGATAGAAGACAGCCAGCAATGGCCAGCCTTCAGTTCTTTTCCTATAGATGCCTCTCCCCTTCACCAAGGGAGGAGCCCCCCTCTACCCCCAGCTAGGGATGCCGGTGGAAGGAGCTCTTAGCTCCCCTCGTCACCATCTCCCTTCATTCTCAGCACAGACCTTGGGAAAGGCAACCCAAGGCTCACCTTAGCCTGAGCTCCCCCTGAAAGGACTGCCTGGAAGAAAGGAGTCTGTGTGCAGGAAGTTTTGGTGGGAAGCAATGCCAGGGGATAGGAGTGAGTGAGCCACAGGGGAGCCAGGCAGGGAAGGAGGAAAAGCAGCAGGAGGCACTGCCAACCCGGCCACCTCTGTGGGGTTCTGTGCTCCACCCCAAGGGGCCATCTGTGGAAACCTGTGGGAGGTGCTGAATGCTGTCTGGCCCAGGGATGGCAGAGGGGCACACAGCCATAGGCTCCCATCCATCCACTGGGCCACCCAGTGACCTCGTGCTTCTGGATTGCACTGTGTGAGTGCCAAGCAGTTCCCACAGGCAGTCCTCACAGCATGCCAGCTCTGGCAAGAAGTGAGTTGCAAAGCTGTGCAAAGACCACATGGAAGAGACCATGACAGCACCGTGGCTGGGACAAGCAGGAGGTCAAGAGGATGTGAAGTGGGCACAGAGGTGTCTGATGCAGTCCACGGTTAAAAATAATGGATGTGAAACAGAAAATCTGAAGTATAGCAAGGCCAACAGACCATGCAACGACTGCCGCTGAAAAGATAGTTTATTACTCACAGTTCCTTAGAGGAGGGGGCTGCCCGGGAGGCACTGGGTGGGTCAGGAGGCAGAGGGAGAGAGGACCAGAAGGCAGGAGCCTCCATCATGGAATTAACGGTGAGGTGGGTAAGCAGGTGTAGGGCTGATTTGTTTGAATAATTTCGGGGCTCTGGGGCGCAGGGCTGCCCCTGGTTGTCTGGTCCTGGCCCTTGCGGGGATAGGGCAGAGGGATGGTGGTCTGGAGTGTGAGATTCCAAAAAAGAAGGTAGCTGGGGTGTGGACATTGGGTTGGGTGGTTTTGCATTTGAAAGGTGAGCTCAGAGCGAGTCATGTCATCACCATAGATTGGCCGACCATGAGAGAGGTGGTCCCTCCAGGCTCAGCAAGGCCCCAGGTGTCAAAGCATCGAAACACAGACACTGAAAGAGGTAGTTGCTGAAGGTCACCCGCCACCCCTGACCAGCTCGGCCCTGCTTGTGGTATCACTGAGTCCTGTGTGTCCAGAGCTTAAATCAAGGTAGCGGCCAGCCTGGATCTTTGTTCAATGTTAATACGCAAGTATTGGATGGGTCACAGTCCCTCCTGCTGCACCTGGTCTCAGTGCTGGAACTGATGCTCAGCAGCACCCCCACCTCACCACCTCTTCTGGAAGCCGCCACCTGCGGTCCGTGTGTCAGCTGCTCTGGGACATTTGCCTGGTGGGGTAGCCTGGTCTTCCTTGGGGGTTCTGAGACCTCAGTTGGCTTGCCCTTTTCCAGCTGAGGTTGCTGCAGCTGCCCACTTGTCATTATCCCCAGGTACGGAAGGACCAGGGGAAGCCCCAGAGCCTTCCCTGAGTTTTAGATGTCTCCACCCTGGGCAGCAGCAGTAGTCTTCTCACAGTGGCCAAGTTGATCACCCTCACAAGCAGGCTCACTGCTGGGCTGTGGTTGTGGCTTCAGGTTCAGTGGCATATTTGTCATGTGTCCCATCCCACCATCAAGCCAGGACTGCTAATTTGGCAGAGCGAAACATTGTGGGGCAGGAAGTCTGTGTTCTGCAAAAGGGAATGATGGTGAGCGGGCCTCCTCCCCAAACTCCAGGTGTGTATTCCGGTTCCGGGGCCCAGCCTGGGCTCATTGCATGCACTGCCGCCCACAGGACAAGACCCCAGCCCTCGGGCTGCTAGTCAGGCGGGCACCTGAGCTGAGTCTCCCATGGGCCACTCCTCTTAGACCAGCCACTTCTGAGTAATGTGAAATAAAGTGAGGTCAGGACACCCATTCTTACATTCCTGTTGTCACCTCCTTACAGCAGCTCAGTCCCCTAGTCCAAGGCAATTGTGCAGGATGCCAGGGTTCCCTGAGGAGTAAGCTTTTAAACTTAAGGATTGCATTGTACATAGTGGATTAACTTCTCTCCTGGGTATCTAGTATGGTACCAATTCTGTATCATCCTGGGGTACACTGAGAAAGTCATCACTCGAATCATTTTCTGTGTGTTCGGTTCTGATGGGAAACTGATTGAGAAGCCTCCTGCCCTGCTGGAGAAATGTTGCCACCAGATCCCCATGAGCCCTGGGAAGGGGATGTCAGTGGAGGCTCTGCAGCCAGAAGGCAAACCAGGGTGGGTGCACATGCGAGCTGCTGCCCCTCCATGGGGGGCAGGGTCCAAAGTAACCAACCTACCATTGAGTAGCTGTCAGTCTCAAGGGATGTCTCCAATCACCGACTCAGCATCTGTCTCTGCCACTGTGATTGCTTATTTCCCAGCAACAGTAGCGGAGACCGATGGCTCCACTCTTGCCCTCCTGGTGCCTCTGTTCATAAACCGCTTGTGCAAGCGCTGGAGTGGCCAAGGACACAGGCTGACTGGCGGCCACTGACCAGGTCAGGCTCCCCTGGTTGTCACATCTGTCTGTGGTAGATGCACACACTTTGTGCCCAACCTGTCCTTTAACCCCAGACCTCCTGGCCTCAGATCTCCCAAGCTCGCTCCTTCTGGGTCCATGGCCAGCCAGCCTGGCCACACAAGTTCATGCCACTCCCTCCTCAGGTCAGGGTCTCTCCCTACAGCTGGAGCCATTGAGGGCACTGCTTACAGGGCTGCCCGAAGCACTGCTCCTCTACAGGGGCGCTCCTGGGAACTGTAGAACAGCATGGGGGTCCATATTTGGTTGCAGACCCGTCTGTGGGCCAGGCCTTCATTTTTAATTCTATCAGGTGGCCTTAGGGGACCCTCCCATGAAGCCATAGGTGAGCCCAGGAATAGGTGTCAGCGCAACAGAGATGGGTGACAGGGAGTCTGGGCCTCCTCCGCAGACCTGCTCAGGTCTGGACCTGAGCGCCTCCGCCTTCTGTCACACAATGGGTGGCCACTGTGCCAGCCATCCAGCCACCTCAGGACTCAGTGGATCTGATCACAGCCAGCTGCTTGCTGTCACAGGGTCACTGGATGTCCCAGGCTCTGCAGGGCCCAGCAGCATTCCAGGAGCTCCTTCTAGGACAGCACGCCCTCGCTGCAGGACTCTAAGCAACTTCCTACCAGAACTGGCCGGAGATCCCGCACGAAGGCGTGTCTGTTGCCATCACATTGTGTGGCCAGGCCTCAGGGCAGATTGACCACAGTCAGAGCCTTCTGCCGGGGCCTGTCTTGCTCTGGGGCCCACTCAAAATGTGTAGCCTTTGAGCTACCTGATGAATGCAGAGCAGTGTCCCCAAGGCTGATAGCTGCTGCATCCCAGTCCCAGAAGGCCCACTAAATGCTGTGCCTCTTTCTTTGTGGTAAAAGGTGTGAGGGGCAATAGCTTCTCCTTTTCCCCAAAAGAGATTTCACAGCCTGCCCCAGAGCTTGGGATCCCTCAGGTCCCCACGGATACAGCAAGCCCCATGCATCTTACCAAGATAACCAGGGTGCATGCCACACTGCTTCCCGGGCCTGCTTAGCACGGCTTCAGCAGCAGAGTGGACCAGCACAACATTCCATGGCACATTAGTTCCTCCTATGGCACACTAAGCTTTTTTAACTCTGATTCAATGGAACCTTTTCACACTGTTAAACTGCACATATGCTATGATGCATTATTACACCAGTGATTCCAGCTACATATTTTTTGGCCTCTCTTGGTCTTGGGTATCTAGGGGTCCAGAGGGATGTGGAATTACACTCATTCAGGTTCATGATGATTATTTTGGGTAGTGGGGTTTGGGAGTGATTATTTAATTTTGTTTTTTAATTTCTCTGTATTGTTTAAGTTTTAGAGTACGCAAGTTTTGTTGTGATTAAATAACATTTGAACATTCAGTAAAAATTGCTGAATGTATCATTTCAGCCAAAATGCTGGAGTCAGGTGAGTTTAGATGGGAACCAGGGGTGACCTAAGAGAACAGTGGGGGAGTGAGAAGCCGGGCTCCCCTGGAGGTGGGCTGGAGGCTGTCCTGGAGGTGGACTGGAGGCTCCGCTGGAGGTGGACTGAAGGCAAACCTGGATGTGCTCCAGGCCCAGGTTCACATCAAGGGGCATGATCTGCTAGGGAGGGTGTTGGAAACCGTCCGGACCTTTCAGGAGCTAAGAAGTCAGAAGTAGGTCCAGATCTCAGGAAAGAGGCTGACAGGATGAGACAGGGACGATGTCTATTCCAGCAGGCTGGAGGTGAGAGAGGCCCCAGTGTCATTAAAACAGACCCAGTGGGCAGGGAAACAAAAACAGTATCGGAGGCACTTATGTGATCCTTCAGCCGTACAGTGCTCTAAACCCTTATTCATATCTTCCAAACAACCGCAATAAGTAGGGTCTATAGTTATTCCCATTTTATAAATGTGGAAACTGAGGCAAGGAAAACTTTAATACTTCCCTGAAGGAAACTGAGGCAGGAGTCTAGATCTAGACATGGGGTCAGCATTAATTCCCTCACCCATGCATTGTTTTCAACAAATATTTCCATGTACCTGGTGCTGTTTCTGGTACTGAGAAAACAGAAGGCACCAACCGTCCCCCAACATACCCTGCCCCCAGGGCAGCCCCACCTGGTAGGGAGGATGCATGCAACATGGAAACACACAGATTTATTGTTACAAACAAGGACAGGGCCTTGAAGCAAGAGTATACAAGATGCTCACCTGGCTAGGGGGTCAGGGCAGGGCTCCTGGAACAAAGAATATTTTAGCAGAAGCTGAAAGAATCCATAGAAGTTAGAGGTTGAAGAACATTCTGGGCAGAGGGAACAGCATGTGCAAGGGCCCTGTGGTGAGCAGGAGAGTCGTTCATTAGGGGCTTCAAAAGCAGTGCCACATAGGGATTAGCAAGCAAGAGGGAGTCTGGTGGGAGATGGGAATGAAGAGGTGGCAGAACGTTGTGCCTAGGAGAAGGAGTTTGGATTTCATTCTTGGCTGGACGGTTTTGAATAAGGCAGTAACTGGTCTAATTGACATTTTCACAGAACACTAGCTGCTGCATAGAGTCAGGAGGCAAAGGAGGATGCAGAAAGACCCGCTAGGCGGTGATCGTGGTAACGTGGGCGAGAGGGGGTGGCTGCCTGGGCCGCAGCAGGGAAGGGGCTGCCCTCCTTAAGATTTCTTGCAAGTCCCTCACACTCTCACTTAGAGCCCTTCAGCTAGAACTTAGTCCCATGGCCACACCTAACTGCAAGGGAGCCTAAGAAATGTGATCTCTATTCCCAGCACCCCTGTGCCATGGAAGACTCTGGCATTCTGTTTCTAAGGAAGAAAAGGGGGATGGATATTGCGGCAGACATCTAGCAGCTCTGCCAGTGTGATTTCATTTTCTTTTATTTTTTCATGGATGTGCCATAATTTTTCCCCCGCTTGGTTGAGGTGCAGTTGACAGTCTGCCACTGTGATTCAGACTTGGTAGTGGTGATGGTGCCAATGAGGCTGGAAGTGGTAGAGGTTAGGTATTAGGTGGTGGTAGGCGTGAGGTGGCAATGCTGGCACTAGGGGTGGCAATGAGGATGTTTCTGGTGGCCATGGTGGCTTCCTGAAGGTGGGAGCAATGATGGCCGGCAAGGTGGGGGTCCAAGTACTGGTGGTGCATGTGAGGTGATAGAGAAGGTGGTGGTGGCAGAGGTGATGGTAGAGTCTCATTGATGGTGATGGACATGGTCATGGTGATGTTTGAGGTGATGCTGGTGATACTGATGTGTAAGGCAACAATATTGATCTTGCCGATACAGAAGGTGACAGTAGTAGTGGCAGTGATGGGTTTCTGTTAGTAATGATAGTGATGCCTGTAGCAGTGGTGATGATGTTGCTAACACAAAAGGTGATAATAACACTAAAGGTGATAATAACGCGGTGATGATGTTGCTAACACTAAAGGTGATAATCCCTGAGTATCTGGGATTACAGATGCGTGCCACCACACCCAGCTAATTTTTGTATTTTTAGTAGAGACAGGGTTTCGCCATGTTGTTCACGCTGGTCTTGAACTCCTTGACCTCATGATCCTCCGGCCTCGGCCCCCCAAAGTGCTGGGATTACAGGCGTGAGCCACCGCGCCCGGCCCAATCCTCCCACTCTCTAAAGAGACATTAAGAAATGTCTCCCTCCCCAAATCTCTAACCTCTCCCCTGCTGTCCTCTGTTGCTAACACTAAAGGTGATAATGATGGTGGTGATGGTGATAATGGTGGGGATAGTGATGATGGTGGTGGTGGAGATGGTGATGATGGTGATGGTGGTGGTGGTGATGATGGTGGTGCTGCTGCTACTGATGGTGGTGGTGGTGGTGATGGTGACAGTAGTGGTGGTGCTGGAGGTGATGGGGATGGTGATGGTGGTGATGGTGGTGGTCGTGATAGTGGTGGTGGGGATGGTGATGATGATGGTGGCAGTGGTGATGATGGTGGTGATGGCAATGATGGTGGTGGTGGTGCTGCTGGTGGTGCTGGAGGTGGTAGGGATGATGATGGTGGTGATGGTGGTGGTGGTGATGGTGATGATGGTGGTAGTGATGATGGTAGTGGTTGTGGTGATGGTGATGGTGGTGGTGGTGCTGGAGGTGGTGGGGGTGGTGATGGAGGTGGTGGTTGTGGTATGAAGATAGTGGTGGTGGTGGTGGTGGTGATGATGGTGGTGGGGATGGTGATGGTGATGGTGATAGTAGCAATGGTGATGGTGGTGGTGGTAGTGGTGATGATGATAGTGGTGGTGGTGGTGATGGTGATGGTGGTGGTGGGGATGGTGATGATAGTGGTGGTGGTAATGATAGTGGTGCTGGTGGTGGTGGTGATGGCGGCGATGGTGGTGGTGGTGGTGCTAGAGGTGGTGGGGATGGTGATGATGGAGGTGGTGGTGTTTATGGTGACGGTGGTGGTGGTGAAGGTGATAGTCATGGTGGTTGTGTTGGTCATGGTGGTGATGGAGGTGGTGATGGTGACAGTGGTGGTGATTGTGACGGAGGTGGTGGTGATGGTGGTGGTGGTGATGGAGGTGGTGATGGTGATAGTGATGGGTATGGTGGTGGCGATGGTGGTGGTTGTAATAATGATGGAGGTGGTGTTCATGGTGATGATGGTGATGGTGGGAGTCATGGTTATGGTGATGGTGGTGGTAGTGGTGGTGCTGGTAGTGCTTGTGCTAGTGGTAAAGCTGATGTTCATGGTAAGGGTAATGATTTTGCCGACACCAATATAATGTGTTATGGCTGTAATGGTGATGGTAACTGATATAATTTGGATATTTGTCCCTCCAAATCTCATGTTGAAATGTAATTCTCAATGTTGGAGGTGGGGCCTGGTGGGAAGTGATTGGATCATGGGGGCAGATTTCTCATGAATAGCTTAGCACCATCCACTTGGTGCTGTCCTTGTAATAGTAAAAGAGTTCCCACAAGATCTCGTGTTTAAAAAGTGTGTGGCACCTCCCCCACACTCTCTCATTCCTGCTTTCACCATGTGATATGCCTGCTCCCACTTCACTTTCTGCTATGATTGTAAGCTTCCTGAGGCCTCCCCAGAAACCGAGCGGATGTTGGTACCATGCTTGTACAGCCTGCAGAACCGTGACCCAATTAAACCTCTTTTATTTATAAGTTACCCAGCCTCAAGTATTTCTTTACAGCAACACAAGAACGGCCTAACACAGTAACGTTAGCAGTAATGGCAATGGGCATGGTGGTGGTGGTGGCAACGGTGCTGACAATGGCTTTAATTTCTCTATCCTCCTTATCCCAGAGTCAGGAAATTGGGTCAGTCTACTTGTTCTTTAATTTTCTTTCAGACTTGTCCTCTTCCTCCTTATGCAAAAACAAATTCCCTAAGTCCAGCCTTCCCCTCTGAGGCTCACATCAGTAGGCCATCCCACCACTCCCACTCTTGTTGCTGCATCTCCTGACCTCCTAGCCACTCTTCCTCATTCACTGAAGAATTTGAAGAGACTCACAGGCTTCCCCATTGATCCCAGCTCTCCCATCTTCCTGGAGGAGTTTCTTGTCCACTTGGACAATCTGTCCAATGCCTGGCCTTTGGACAGGCTCATCCTCTTTTCCTGACTGGCTCATCCTCAGTGACCTTCTCCTGCTGTGCTCTCAGACACCTTTCTCCCCACATCCTAACCTCTGTCTCTGCCCAGCTTGCCTCGTTCGGCCATCCCCTGGTTTGGCCACTCTCCCCTTCACTGGCTCCCTCCTCCAGTGCTCAGTGCAGGAGGGACTGAGCTTCCCTCTGCTTCCCTCAGTCCATCAGCCTCCTCACTTCCTTCAGTTCCCCAACCCCACCAGTCAGAGCCTGCGGAGTCTGCGTTGCAATAGCATGGAGACTGCATTGCAATAGCATGCTTGCTAGCACCCTACACTGCATGCACCACTGTCTTTCTGTGGTCACAATCAGTGTTAGTTACCTATTGCTGTGTAACAGATCATCCCAAAAGTTAGCAGTTTCAACAACAGCAGACACTATGGTCTCATGCCACTTTTGTGGGTGGGGAATCCCAGAGCAGCATGGCTGGGTGGTTCTGACTCAGTCAAGATGTTGACTATCATCATCTGAAGGCTTGACGGGGGATGGGGACCTGCTTCCAAAATGGTGTACACAGGGGCTGGCAAGCTGGTGCTGGCTGTTGACAGGAGACTTGATTCCTCACCACAGGGACACCTCCACAGAGCCATTTGAGTGTCCTCATGACATGGCAGCTGCCTTCCCCCAGAGCGAATAACCTAAGTGAGCAGAAAGCGAAACCCACAGTGTCTTTGATGCCTGAGCTTCAGAAGTCATAGTCTGTCATTTCCAAAACATCCTGTTGGTTATCTATGTCCACTACACACAGTGTGGGCAGGGGCTCTATAGGGCATAGACACCAGGAGGCCGCTGCCTTCTTCTACCTGCACCAGAGCAGCTTAGCCCAGAGAAAGCAACCCCCAAGGGACGACTGGTTTCAGTGTGAATTCCTAAGGATGGTTGCACGGTTCCTCCCCATGGCCCAGCAGCCTGTGCTTCTGTGCTTCTGGGGCCAGCCTACCTTCCCACTCTTTTTTTTTTTTTTTTTTTTTTTGAGATGGAGTCTCACTCTATCACCCAGGCTGGAGTACAATGGCATGATCTCTGCTCACTGCAACCTCCTCCTCCCAGGTTCAAGCAATTCTCCTGCCTCAGCCTCCTGAGTAGCTGGGATTACAGGTGCGTGCCACCACACCTGGCTAATTTTTGTATTTTTAGTAGAAACAGGGTTTCGCCATGTTGTTCACGCTGGTCTTGAACTCCTGACCTCATGATCCTCCCACCTCGGCCCCCCAGAGTGCTGGGATTACAGGCGTGAGCCACCACACCTGGCCCAATCCTCCCACTCTCTAAAGAGACATTAAGAAACGTCTCCCTCCCCAAATCTCTAGCCTCTCCCCTGCTCTCCTGTCACTTTATTCTCAGGAAATGACCTCACCTCCAATTTTACAGAAAAACTAGAAGCTACAGGAAGTCCTTCATCTTCCTGTGACCAAGCGACAAGCACACATCTCTCTCTTTCCTCCCTGCTGTTGTGAGAGGAATTGATTGCTGCTTCCGCCAAGACTGAACTCACCTGTGTGTGGCCCCAGCCCCTCTCCTTTCTGAGGACCTTACATGATGAATGCCCCTTCTCTCTACCACACATAGCCCTCCTCTTCCACACAACTTGTGTTCTTCCCAGTGGATCTGCAGTGCCCTCGGCCCCGTTATTCTTCGGCTGCTTTCTCCAGACTCCTGTAGCAGACGGCAGTGTTCACATCTTCCTTTTCCTCCTCTCCATTCCCAGGCTCCTCTCAGTTCTCTGCTCCCATGGTCTCTAAATACCATGTCCCACTCAAAGGCACCAGGTATGAGTCAGAGCATATTCAACACGAGCCTGGAGCATCTTATAGACACAAGGGCAGCCATCAGAGACCATAGAGCCACGAAAACAAAATATGGGGGCTGCTTGCAGGGGCTCCCACTCAGGCCAGACAGCAGATACCTTGAATGTCAGAAAATTTCAATAGATGGAAAGAGAGCAAAGGTGCTAAAAACCCATGTGTTCCCAGTGGAGCTCAGACCTCATTGGTCAACAATGAGTATACTGGAAACCACCTCATCATTCCAGAAATATTAAAACAAAAGGAAAGAATGGCCAGCAGTCGTGCATTTCCTATATGAACTATTTCTCAGAGTAACTAGTTGCCAAGGGAAGCTCTCTTTAGGAAAATGCCAGCTCATGTATAAAATAGAAAGAAGGGATGATGTCATCACGTCACAACCCGTCATAATGAACTAGGCATGATAACCATTGACCACCAAAGTCATGGGTGAGAAGCTGATGGGGACTTTATCACAGATGGGCCAGGCTGGGAAGCCCTGAACCACTGGTCAGTCTTGACCCCACCAAAAAGGAGCAGGTGGACCCAAGGCGTCCCTGAGTACCGCCGTGGGAGGCACACCCACCTATGCAGGTTCTTGCCAAGGCCTCACCCCTGAATCGAATCGAGCCTCTGTGTCCACAGAAAGTGAAGGGCACAGAGGACCGTGTGGCCCAAGGCTGGTACCACAGCACAGCTCAGCTCAGCCCGACTGGTGCCATGGCCGCTTCTGGTCCGCCTGTCCGCACTTCTCCGCTCCCTCTCCCAGCATTTGGACAGGGCTGTCCGTGTTTGCAGTCCCATTCCCTCGGCCCCCCACTCCCATCCCAGTCTGATCGCTGCCCCCTCACTCCATAGAAGCAGCTTCCACAAGGTCAACAATGTCCTCTGTGTTGCCAGAACCAACTAATGTTCTTGAGGCCTCATTTGTCACTCTTGAGCCTCTTTGCAGTGGTCAGCGTGGTTTAACACTCCCTTCTTCTTGAAATACCCTCCCCTCCTGGCTCCCAGGTACCCCCCAGGCCGGTTTTCTTCCCCGCAGTCCCTCCCTCCAGAGACCCCTGCTCTGTGTCCTCTGAAGGGCTCTCCTCCCCAGCCGGGCATTAAGGACAGGATTCCCGGCCCTGTTGCCTGGCTATTCCTGAGTGGCCTTGTCCACTCCAGCTCTCACTGACTCCTTATACGCAGATGACTCTGAAACGTGTTCTCAAACCTAAGCATCTCTCTGGGTCCAGACCCATGCTCCAACCGACCATTGAAATATAGTGGGGGTCTCAAGGGCACCTCGTTCCTAGCAGGTCCAAACCTGAGCTCATGCTCTTTCTCCAAACACAGTCCTTTTCCTCCTTCCCTGTCTCAGTGGAGGGCCCCACTATTCATTCTGATGCTTGGGCCAAACACCTGGCGGTCTGCCTCAACTGTCCCTTCCTTTTAGTCAGATTCTGACCCATCACCACAACCTTTGGGATCTCACTTCCCAGAGAAGTGTTGAGTCCATCCTCTTCTGTCTGTCTCCCCCACAGCCACCTTCCTGCATGAATGGGACTCCTCGTAACTGGTCCCTGCTGCCATGCTGGCCTTGTCATCCTTTCTCCACGTGGCTGCTGGAATGATCTTTTCACAGTGCAAATCCAATAGTACCATCTTGCTTCAAACCCGTCTGTAATTTCTCATTGCTCTTAGCATCCAGGTGACAATAATCCTACAGCCCCTGCACCATGTGGTCCCTGACAGCCCAGCACCTGCCACCACCTGCCAGCCACAGTGGTCTTCTCCAGCCCTGGCATCACCTGTCCCTCCTGCTGTGGGGACTACACAGGTGCAGACCCTCTGCCTGCCACATGCTCCTCTCCAGGATCACCCCTGCTCCCTTTTAGATCTTGACAGCTTGTTCTCAGGGCAGTTCTGCTCATCTTCCCTTCTGCCTCCTGTGGTGCACATTTGAGTAATAGTTTCACAACTTTTGTTGTGACTATTTGAGTCAAATCTGTTTCCTTCACTAGACTATAACCCACCTGAAGGTAGGAGTGATCTTTGCTCATCGTGGTGTCAACAAAATCCAACCTCCTGCCAGTCACGTAGTGGATGCTCAAACCTCGCTCGGTGATGGTGTCTGGAGTGTTGGTGACAGTCGTGATGGCGATGGCAGGGCGGGGGTAGTGTTGGCATGGTTTTGAACGATGAGGGTGTGTTGGTGGAGGTGGAGGTGACGGTGGTGGTGGCGACATGCAAGGGCAGTGGGAACAGTGGTGCGGGAGGTGGCTGAGGGGATGACGGTGATGATGACAGGGATGATGATGGTGAAGCTAGTGACGGTGATCACCTTCCTACACACCAGCATGGCCGACAGACCGTTGAGCAGATTCATGTAAGGAGGGGAAATGAGGGGCTGATCTGTTCCAATGGCAGCAACCTAAGGAGACCATCCTTCAATCCAGGACTGCCTGGGCTCCTGGCCTCACCACACCTGTGTGATTTCTTCTCCTTTTGACTCAGCTTGTACCCATTCAATAGTGTTCCTCCTCCCTTTTAACTGAAGTTGGCTGGGGTTGAAGTCTGTCCCTTGTAGCCAGAGAATGCTAACTGGTGCAGATGAGACGAGGAACGGTGGGGTGAGCTAGATGGGGCCCGTTCCTTCCCACCTCCTGCTGGCCTCTCCTCCTCTCTCTGGCCTCTGAATGTCCTTGGATTTTTCTTCATCTCTGTTCACTCTCTGGGTAATCTTGTCCACTCTCATCCCCTTAATACCATGCTATAAGCTAATAAGTCTCGAGTATCCATCCCCGGTCCTGACTTTTATCCCGAAGCCAAATCCACGTGTCCGGCTATTTACCAGGCATTTCTTACATGGCTGCCTGTCACACCTCAAACTCAGCCTGACCGGCGATGCATGGGACTTTCCTCCAGACACCTGCTCCCTGCACTGTCCTGTGAGCAGCATCTACAACATGTCTTACCAGCAGCCTTGGGGCCATCCTTGACTCCTGTCCCTCGCCCCTACATCCGATCCACCAGCAAGCCTCATCAGTTCACTTTCCAGATGCAGCCTCCCAATATCCGCCTGCACCGCTGTGCCTCCCCATGCCGGGGCCCCAGCAGCCTGCCCCATGCAGCAGCCAGAGCAGTCCAGACAGAACAGAGGCCAGCTCCTCCTCCACCCGCAACTTCCAATGGCTGCCCATCTCCTCCACAAGGAACACAGCTCTTCAAAGGGCCCATGAGTCTTCTGACGTGGTGTAGCCTCTACCACCTCTTCTATACCTCCTCACCCCGTTCGGCTCAGGGGATGCTTTGCTTTTCGGGAGTGCTCCTGCCCCAGGGCCTTGGCACCGGCTGTGCTCTCCACAGGGAATGCCGCCCCGAGCTGCGCCTGCTTCCTCACTGCCTTCAGGTGGGTGATGATGGAGCCTCTGACCAGGGCACAGGGCCTGGAGGGAGAACCCACAGGATGTGGTGTCTGAGGGAGGCATTCAGGATGACTCCCAGGTGCCTGGGAAGGGACACAAGATGGGATTGGCTTTGGAGAAGAAGATGCCAAGTGCTTGTGAGGCATGGGGAGAGAGGGGCCATCCAGGGTGGAGCACTCAGGACACTGCCTGGTAGACCCATCACCTGGAGCCCAAGGCAGAGACCAGACTGGGAGGCAATGCCCCGCCTGGCGACGGCCGCCTGGGGAGGGCTGACCCCCATCCCGCCACCCCCAGGGCAGCCCCTGCAGTGAGCAGCAGCGACACTCCACTAGTATCCGCCAGCTGCTAGGGAATCCAGCCCATGGTAGGCCGCAAAATCAGTGGCTGAGCTGGTGTGAGCAGAGCTGGCACCGCTGACCCAGTTCAGAGAGAAGCGTGGCCACTCTCCTGGGGAACAATTCCACAGGCAGCCCTGCCTAGCTGGCAGCTGACAGCGGATCAATAAGCCCAATTACTGATTACCTTTTTAATCAAATATCAACGTACAGCAAGTATGACAATCAGCCTCTTGCAATTACGGCTCCTGCCTGCCTTTCCTAGAGGGATGCTTGGAGGGCCCAGCTCCAGGACCACACAGGTTGGGGGGCTACGCCACAGCCATGCCGTGGGAGAGCCGGGGGGACTCAGCAGCACAGCAGGGCCACGCTGGGCTGTTTGCTCCCTCTCCTATGGCCACAGGAATTCTGGGGCCACCAGCCCGATCTCCTTTAGCGACGAAGGGCAGAGCTTTCTCCAGTCACCTCCATGCTCAAATGAGCCCCGCTTTGTGCTGGGCAAACTGGGGTCAGATCAGAAAGTGTCCCTGCCCTCAAGAGCTGGACCCAGACCCAGGCAACTTGAATGCCAGATGAAGATATTCAGGAACCTGCAGGTAGAGAAGGACTTGTTCCTGGGATCCCAGGGAGGGAGAAACAGGGGAAACACAGGCCGCAGAAAACACGCAGCTCCAGCCGCCCTTGATAGGGAAGCGTTGAAGGGACGCTCCTGGGGATGGGAGCCGAGTGGCTGGGGGAAGGCTGAGTGGGTATGGCGAGGCTCAAGGTAGTGGGAGGTGGCCAAAGCCAGCAGCGACCCAGGAACCTGAAGGAGACTCGTGCCCTCACCACCACCCCAGAACCCCACGACCCCAGGGGTTTCCTGACCGGCTGCTCGGGTGACCGCAGGCATAACCACGGCGCCCGGGGGCTTGAGTGACTGGCGGTGCCAGGTTCCTGCTTTGGGGTGTGACAGCGCAGTGTGGTTGGCGGGCAGGTGGCCCCAGCCCCGCGCTGCCCAGCACCCGTGCTCCCAAGCCCCATGGAGGGCAGGCCTGTCCCCAGGCCACACCCCACCGAGCTAGGGAGTGCCAGGCCCAGGGACATGGCCCCAGGGATGGGGAGGGACGCTCAGCAATGTTGCCTGAGGTCACACTCAACCTTTGGTGAGTCCTGGACCCCTCTGAGATGCTGATGGAGGCTGTGATCATATCTTTTCTTAAAACAAAACAAAACTACCTGTGGACCCACATCTCCACATGGTCTGCATCCTGGGTCCCCAGGGGCCAGCTGCCCCTCTGTATCCTCTGCTCTGAGCTGTGATCCTGGGCCCTCCTGGGGACCCAGACCCAGACCATTCCCAGGGTTAAACTGAAGGGTGACTAATGCCTCTAGACAGACGAGATGCCACAGCCAGGGCTCTGGGACAAGGGACACAGCCTTGGGGAGGAACCGCTGGGAGTGTCTCCAGAGCCAGGGGAAAAAGATAGAGAAAGCCAGTCCCAGAGAGAGGCAGGGACAAACCTGAGGTCTCCAGCAGGGGGGCCAAGCGGGTCCTGCACCCTCCCAGCCTTGGCCACATGCAGGCACTGGCTCTTCTGCTCAGGAACCCCCAGCCCTGCCCCCACATCCCATCTCCCAGGTCCTGCTGCCAAGCTCCTGCCACATGGGCCTCCTCCCAGCCCTGCCTCTCAGCCCTAGCCTCCTGGTCTCTCCTCCTTTGCTCTGCATCCCAGGCACAATCTACCTCCTCCCCAGGAGGCTCCTCTTCAGGGACAGGCACTAGGGGCAGGTCCTGCCCAGGGATCCAGGCATTCGAGTGCCCCTCCCTGAGCAACCTGGAATATGGTTCCCCCAGGCGGGAGGCCATTTGAGGAGTAGGTGGCTTTGAGCCAGCCTCTCAACAGCCCCTCTGTCCAGCCCTGTGGGGAGATCACCTCTTCTCTCTGCAGGCTCTGTGGTGGGTGGAACAATGTCCCCTCCCCACAAAGATGTCTTCGTCCTAATCCCCAGAACCTGTGTGTTCCCTTAGATTGCAAAAGGGACTTTGCAGATGTGACTGAGTGAAGGATCTTGAGACAAGAAGACTATACATGATCATCCAGGTGGGCCCTAGATGTAATCCCAAGGGCACTTACAAGAGGAAACAGAAGGGTCAGAGTCAGAAAAGGAGACTGGAGGATGCTGTGCTGCTGGCTTTGAAGATGGGGGAAGGGACCACCAGCCAAGGAATGCAGGTGGCCTCTGGGCTGGAAAAGGCCAGGAGACGGGTCCTCCCTTGGACACTTCAAGAGGAAGACACCTTGATTTTAGCCCAGGGAGACACATTTGGGACTTCTGGCTTCTAGAACTGTAGGACAATAAATTTGGGTTGCTTTAAACCACAAAGTTTGTAGTAATTTTCTACAGAAGCAATAGAAAATGATTGCAGGCTCCTTTTCTGAAAAACCCAAAAGACAGTGAAAGAGAATTGCAAAAGAGAGGACGCGCTGGGGTGAGGAGGGACCCAAGCAAAGCCCAAGCGTGGCCTCAGAGGCAGCAGGAAGCAGGTGGGCTGCCCGCACCCTTGTCCCAGCCCCCAGGCCCCTGAGGTCCCTGGAGTAGTCCACTTCACAGAGAAAGAGAGTGGAATGGGGGGCACCAGGAGCTAGGGGGTGCAGAGTTAGAGGTGAGTGAGGACAGCTTCCATTTGGGAAGAGGAAAGAGTCCTGAGACGGATGGTGGTGAGGGCAACAGAGCAGTGCAAATGTGCTTCATGCCTCTTAGTTGTCCACGTAAAAATGGTGAAATGGTAAATCGTGTTGTGGGTATTTTACCACAATTAAACAAATACAAAAATAGCCCATTGATGGTAAAAGAGAGAGGTGGGAGGCGGTAAAGGACGAGGCTGGAGAAGAGGTTGGACCCCATGCGAGCCTGTGGGTCCCAACTGGGGTTTGGACTTTGTCCAGGATCTTGGTGAGGAGTGTGGAGGCTTCCACCCGCGGACAGAGCGGGCAGTTTGAATTTGTCCTTAAGACCTTGGAGTGGATTTTAATATTTCCCTGTGAGCCACTCTGGGGAGTTTGGACTTCAGACTCATGATGATGAATGATCCATGCCCTCAGCAAGAAGCAGAGCACCTTGGTATTTTCTGAAGGCTGGAGGGGATGTGCCCAGGTCAGAAGATGGCTCGGGCCGTGGGGAGGCCACCTCTGACAAGCTGGTGCTGGTGCCCAGGGCCCAGGGAGGAGGCTGGGGCAGGGATCGGGTGCATTGGAAACTGAGCATCTGCAGAGCCCCGGGGCCACCAGGGAAGCATCCAGTGGACAGTGCTGTGCAGACCTGAAGTCTGAGTCCCAGTCTTATGCTGAGGTTGCCAGTAGAGGTGTAGCCCTGATTCATAGCCTGTATTTTGAGGCCCATGTTGTGAACTGGGCACTGGGAACAAGCTGTGAGCAGCACCCACCTCCCAGGGCCTCGAGCTAGCTCCTGGTGGGTGCAAGGCACAGGCAGAACCAGGCTGTGGGGTGGCATAGGCAGGGTGGCAGTGGGGTTGGTGCAGGTGGCAGGGAGTCGCTCCGGGGAGAAACAGCATCTGCAAAGGTAGAAGGGCAGGGCTGAGGCATGCCAGCCCGAGCCTGGTGAAGGGTTCTGAGCAGTGGTGGCTGGCAGAGCAGAGTCCAGACGTCTCGCCTCCTTCTCTGCTGTCTCCTGGCACCTTCCCAAGTCCCAGCACACAGAGGTGATGATAAATGCTTGCTGGGATAAGTTAGATGGGGGCTGTTGTTCCGGGCCCCTGTTCTGGGAGGGATTGGACGACTCTGTCCTGTGAAATGGGCATACAGATGCCCACCGGGTAGGGCTCCCTGGAAGGCAGATGACAGTGAGTGGACAAAGCCCAATGCAGGCGCTCAGTGCCACCCTCCATCTGCAAGATGAAGTGAGTATTGGCAAATCTAGACGATGTGATTGTTGTAAAAGCCAGACCGAGGGCCCTGGGAGTTGTCTGTGGAAGCAGTGGACATCCCAGCTCTGAGCTGAGCTTGGTTCCCTGTCCGGCCAGGGAGGGGCTGTGAGGTCTATGACCCTGGCATGGCAGAGTGGGCAGACTGGGGAGGCCTGAACTTCCTACCAAGACCCTTCCCCAGCAGACAAGAGGAGAATCTCCTGCTCAGTGGCAGGCTGCTGGGGGAGAGGGGACAGGCAGGCCACCTGGGGCCGGGTAGGCAGCGAGGCGGGAAGGCAGCCGTCTCACACCCTCCCCCAGCCCCCTCCAGGGGCTCCATCTCCACCCCTCACCTGGGCACCTCGAGCTATCTCCCTGGCTCCTTGGCATCTCTGTGTCTCCATGGTCCCTGGGTCTCCGGAATCCCAGTCTCCCCTTCCTTCTGTGTCTCTCCCTGTCTCTGTCACCGTGTCTCGTTGCTCCCAGTTCTCCTGCCCTCCCCGTCCCGCCCACCACAATCCCCTCCAGCCCACTTGGTGCCCTTATCTGGGTCTGCCCCGCACAATTGCTGGGAGCCCATCCCCATGACAACGGGGCAGATGGCGGCTGCGATTAACCACTCTCCCTCCCTCCGCAGCTCAATCCGTCTTTGAAATTAAATCAGCTGCGATAACATCGACCGGCCAGAGGGAGGGAAGGCGGGCAGGAGGCTGCCTGCGCCCCACCCACCCTGCCCCAGGCCCAGTGCAGAGGGAGAGGAAGAGGGGTGCAGAACTGGTTCTCACTGTGGCCCTGTGACCTTGAGCACGTCTCTCGCCCTCTGAGCCTCAGTTTCTGCATCTGCAAAATGGGGGTGAACAGTCATATCTCTTGCTTGGCTCGGTGGAAGGCGTGGGGGAGGTTGTGCAGTAGGCTGAGAACACTGTACCTGCCCACCCAGTCCATGCAGAAGCCTGAGCCCCAGTGGGCAACCCCTGCCTGGCCAGGCCTTAGGGGCCAAGGCCAATTGAGTAAACCAGCTCCTCGTGGCTGAGAGGCCACAGGCCTGGGTCCCCACCTGCTCTGCAAGCCCAGCGCATCTCCCAGGGCCTTGACACTCTAACTTGTAAAATGCTCCAGCTTCATTGAATCCTTGCTTAGATGCCATCTTGTCCACTCCCTCCCCCACAGCATTTTGGTCCCTTCAGACAGCCAGGGCCCTCACAGGATGTATGGACCCAGGAGTGGAGGGTGGAGAAGATGGAGACCTGCCCCGGTTTGAGACCTCCCAAGGAAGTAGCAATCAGTGGGGTTCGCTGGGTGGGCTGTGGGTCCCAGGCAATGGGGTCAGCATGTTCGAAAGCTGGAGGTGGGAGGCAGGGTGGGGCCAGAGCACAGAAAGCAAGAGAGAGCGGGGAGGCGCGCCTGGATTTGAGGCGAGGGAAGGCTGCGTGTGATCCAGAGCAGGGCTCTGGGTGGAGGTCACAGCCAGCTCAGAGGCCCCATGCAGGAACACGCCAGTGTGAGTAGGAAGGGGAGGAGGCCGGGGGCTGGAGCAAAGAGTGATGGGGAAGCCGAGGCGGTCACTGTGCAGGCTGGGGAAGGGCCTGTGGGCCGCCTTGGGGACAGCAGCTTCCACTCCTGAGTGTTCCACAAAGCTCAGGCTTTCACAGAATCCTTCTGGCTGCTGGGATATAAACAGGATGAAAGAGGGAAGGGAGGAGGCCAGGGAGGAGGCTGGCGTGATGTCCAGTGGGTGACAATGACCCAACTGGGACACGGCCATCATCTTCGCGGGGAGCTACACTCTGCAGTGTCCCCTGCCCCTCTGCTGAGCTCTGCTTGGAGAATCCACGCTGGGATGGGGCCTGGGGCAGCAGAGGAGCCTCAGCGGACTCCACTTAGTGTGCCGCACAAGGTGCGGCCAGCCTCAGCCTGGCTCTGAAAGTAGCTCACAGACCCCTCACTGCCCCGCCCGGCTCTGAAAGTGGCTCCCGGACCTCTCACTGCCCCATCTGGCTCTGAAAGTGGCTCCCAGGACACCTCGCTGCTTCAGACTTGGCCCCCAGACACACAGCCCAGCCTAAAAGAGACTCCAGGAAAGGCCAGAATGGCCTGCCGCAGCAGTGCAGCTTGGCAAGGCCTCCTCAAGAAAGTGACACAGAGTGGGGGCCTCCTGGGATGACTTTAACAAGCCGAAGGAGATGGGAAGGGCGGCCCAGGCACGGGCAACAGCGTGATGCTGCAGCAGAAAGGGCCTGGAGCCAGCAGTGCTGTGGGGCAGGCCCTGGGCCTTGAGTGCCGCGTGGGGGTTGGACTTAACCCCAGACGTGCTCCTGAGGAAGTCACTTAAGCTGCCAGGCTTCAGCTTCTCTGTCTGTAAAGTGGGGCTAAAGGTGGACACAGGGATTCCGCCAGGTGTCACATGCTCGGCTGAGTGGGTCAGTGGCTGGGGTCCCGGAGGCATTTGAGCAGGGGATGCCATGTCGGGTCTGGTTGGAGAGAGCTGGTGCCAGCTCCAGGTGTGAGGCTGGGCAACAGGAAGGAAGCAGAGAGCCGGGAGTCCTGGGGTGTTTGGGGACCGGTGCTGTGCAAGCACCCAGGTTTCTGCTGTGCACCCAGCACTAGGACTGTGGCCGCCTGGGCTGCTGGGCTGTAATTGGATTTGCTCAGCAGCTGCCTGTGCTAAGCAGACCCACTTGACGCAGCCACAGCTGGCCAGTAATTGGTGAAATTAGCAAGTCGGCGGGGACAGAGGTCAGGTGGTTAATGCTGTAGTGGGGGCTTTGATGAAGTTAGTCCCAGGGAAGGACTGGGACCTGGGGTTTGACCTTCTGCGTGTCACAGGGCTCTCCTGCCCTGCCTGTAACGTGGTTAGGGGACCTCCAGCTGCCGGCTTGTCCCAGGGGCTCTCAGAGGCAGAACCCAGGGAGCCACAACCTGGCCCGAGCCTCAAGATGCAGCCGCAGCGCCAAGTTGCCGACTGTGTCCTCTAGGCCGAGACACATGCTGAAGCCAAGGGAGCCTTTCAAGCCCTAAAGATCTTGGGGTGATGCCCCTTGTCTTCCTGGAAGAGGACTTCAGCAGGCTTCCCTTGGAGAAAAGCAGCAGGCCCACCTCCCAGCCTCTCCATCCCTCGTGAGTGCCCCTCAGACCAGCTCTGCATCTGGAAATGGGATGAGTTCTTCACTGGGTGTTCCCCTTATTCAACCAAGCCTCACCCTCCCGGCTAGGTTAAAGGCTTCCCAGTGTCTTCTCCTGTCCTGAGCTCCAGAGAGTGTCCTCTGAGCATGCTGCTTGGTTCCTGCTCTTCCCTGACACAGTGCTCCTCCCTTCTTTCATTTCATATCATTTATTGGGCACCTACTAGATGCCACGAGCTGGGCTGGGAGTTGGGATGCAGAAATGAGCAAAATCTGACCAGATCCTAGTCGACTTGGTGCTACGCCTTTTGTGGCCATGCCACATCACCTTGCCCCAGCCAGGGAGCCAGAGACCCTGTCACTGACCATCCTTTAACCCCCAAACCTGGAATCACCTCCTTTTTGGCTTCTACTCCAGCCCCAAGGAACAAGGAATTGCCACCTGCACTCAAGCACTCAAACGCATCTCCCTGGGCTGTCACCGCCAGCATCATCATCATCATCACCACCATTTTAAAGGCAGGTCCTTTGGAGTCAACACCTGGGGTGATATTCTAGCATAGCCACTTGCCAGCTGTGTGACTCTCTCCTCTCCAGACCTCAGTTTCCTCTTGGATAATGTGGGGTCAATGACCCCTGTCTGGGAGGGTTGTGGACAGTTGTGGGCATTAAATGGAACCCTGTATAGCCACCTTCCTGGCCTTCTTGCTGTTCTCCAAACAGGGGCAGGCGTGTTCCTGCCCCAGGCTTTTGCGCTTGCTGTTCCCTCTGCCCAGAACGCTTTTTCCCCAGATGGCCTTATGGTCCAGCACCTCACCTTCATTCCAGTTCCTGATAGACGTCACCCCCTCAGAAATGGAGGCCACTCTGTTGGTTTGTTTTTTTGTTTTGTTTTGTTTTTCGTTTTTGTCGTTTTTTTGTTTTGTTTTGTTTTGAGACAGAGTGTCGCTCTGTCGCCCAGGCTGGAGTGCAGTGGCGCGATCTAGGCTCACTACAAGCTCCGCCTCCCAGGTTCAAGCCATTCTCCGGCCTCAGCCTCCCGAGTAGCTGGGACTGCTACAGGCGCCCGCCACCACGCCCAGCTAATTTTTTTGTATTTTTAGTAGAGACGGGGTTTCACCGTGTTAGCCAGGATGGTCTTGACCTTGTGATCCACCCACCTTGGCCTCCCAAAGTGCTGGGATTACAGGCATGAGCCACCGCGCGCGGCAAGGCCACTCTGTTGAGTGTTGAGTGACTCAACACTCCCCTGCCCACTCCCTGAGCCCCCTTCTCAGTCAGCTCACCTGCCCATTTCCTCTCCGGCGTTCATTGCTAGTGGGGACCATGTTCTGCACACCTGTTTTTCATGCGTCTCCCTCAACTAGAATACTAACCACATGAGGGTAGGGGTCTGCCTGTTTTGTTCCTTGCTGTATCCCCAGTGTCTAACAGGTGCTCAATCAATATTTCTTGAATTGCATCCAATTAATAGTGCCTGACACATCTGTGAGTTTGAGATTGTTTCACAGTAAAATGTTACTTTTTTTGAGGAGGAGTCTTGCTCTGTTGCCCAGACTGGAGTGCAAGTGGCATGATCTCAGCTCACTGCAACCTCCACCCCCTGGGTTTAAGAAATTCTCCTGTCTCAGCCTCTGGAGTAGCTGTGGTTACAGGCACTCACCACCACGCCCGGCTAATTTTTGTATATATTTTTTATTTTTAGTACAGATGGTTGTTTCACCACGTTGGCCAGGCTGGTCTTGAACTCCTGACCTCATGATCCGCCCGTCTCAGCCTCCCAAAGTGCTGGGATTACAGGCGTGAGCCACCGCACCCAGCCTCAAAGTAAAACGTTACTTTTAAAATACATACTTTTTAAAGATTGGCACTCAGCAGGACTCAGGTCATCAGGACAGAGTCCCCTTTCCTTTTTAGCACCGGCACCCTCCCGTGACGGGGAGCTCACTCACCCTCCGAGGGGGTCAGCCTGGCTCTGACTTGGGGAAACCTCTGGCTCCACGTGGCTGAGACCTGCTCCCTGGGATCCTGCCCCCACCCATGGATGCCAGGCCTGAAGATGAGTGGGCACTCGCCAGGGAGCGTGGCCTGTACAAAGGCCCTGGGGCTGCAGGGTGTGTGGTGCAGTGCAACAACTGGGGAGGCCAGCACGGTGGGAGGTCAGAGACCAGAGACAGAAGGCCGGGGCAGGTGGGTGGGCCCAGGCCACCAGGCCCTTGTGGTGAGGATGAGATGTGCAGTCCTTATGCTTAGCGCAGGGAGAGCCTGATTTAAAGCTACCAGGCAACGTGACTGAACGTGGGTTTGGCACAGCTGTCCCGGGAAGAACTTATGCGGGTGGGTAGAAAGGGGAAGGCTGAGAACGGGAGCAGCAAGGCCTGTGCAGATGGCAGGGGCCAGCAGTAGAGAGTGGATAGGGGTCAGGGTTGGGTTTGAGGTAATCAGGACAGGGCAGCCACGTTATTTGTCAACCCAGATGGTGGGCACAGGAGAGATGACAGTCCCCCTGCAGAACCACCCCTGGCTTCCTGATAGAAACAGCCCAGGCCCTGGAGGCAGCACCCACTCCCTCCTTCATGTTCACTAGGCTGGAGCTGGCCCCATGTCCCCACAAAGCTGAGAAAGCTATGCCATGAACTCACTTGGCACATTTATTAACCATCAGGCTATGTCTGCGGCCCCACGTGTTTGCTGCCCCATGCACGGTGGTGGTGGTGGGAAGGCAGGGCCGGGTGGCCAGCGCCTACTTGCTGTCCATCCATTTGAGCTGCTCCTTGCCGTTCACAGTCACCGACTTGAGCTGCCCGTCTTCCTCCACCTCCACGCGCTC
This sequence comes from Homo sapiens, assembly GCF_000001405.40. Lineage (NCBI taxonomy): Eukaryota > Metazoa > Chordata > Mammalia > Primates > Hominidae > Homo > Homo sapiens. The sequence goes on from NC_000003.12 coordinate 128,462,634, forward strand.
CTGCCCGTTCTCCACGATGCGCTTGGTGGTGACCTTGTGGCCATTGATCATCTCGGTGGACGACATCACCGACTTGAACCCCGAGCTGCCAGAACTGGAGCCCCCGAAGGAGGTGGATGAGAAGGTGGTGTGGCTGCCCCCGCTGCAGCCCAGCATGTTGAAGGATGAGAAGGCCTCCATGAAGGCCGGAAATTCTCCAAAGCCTGCCGAGAAGGCCCCCCTCAGGCCATGGCCCCGGCCACCACGGTCACTATTGAATGGGCTGTCCCAGAACTCAAAGGAGAAAGGGTCCAGGCCACCAAAAAACTCCCGGAAGATGTCCTCAGGGTTACGGAAGGTGTAGCCGGTGTCGAAGGGGCTGTGGTAGGGCGTGCTGGCCCCGCCACCAGCCCGCCAGCTGTCACAGCCAGCACGGTCATACAGGGAGCGTTTCTTGGAGTCAGACAGAACCTCATAGGCCTCAGACACCAGCTTGAACTTCTTCTCCGCCTCCTCCTTATTGTCAGGGTTCTTGTCGGGGTGCCAACGAAGGGCCAGCTTGCGGTAGGCTTTCTTGATGTCCTCCGGGGAAGCGCTGGCCTGCACGCCCAGCACTTCGTAGTAGTTAGCCATGGCCAGGGGTGTGGGTGAGAGGAGAGGGAACGTGGAGGCCAGGTGGGCGCAGGGGCCCAGCTGGTCAGATGGACGGGGGAGAAGTGGCCGGTGGTCTGGGGCCCTTCAGCAGGGGCCTGGCTGGACTCCGCAAGCTCTAGGCAAGATTCTGCCCAGGAGTTCACCTTTTCGTAGTACCAATTCTCAGGGACTGGAGGGGCCCCCACTGAGAGGAGTGGGGGGAGGGGAGGGACACTGCCGCTGTGGGGCCAGGCCAGAGTGGGCTGCCCTCCAGAGCTCCTTTTATGACGTCAGCTCCCGGGGCGGGGCATACCCCCGCCCCCAGCTCCTCACCAGGCAAACCTGGGCATATGGGCCTGCCCCTGCTGGTGAGGTGGCCACAACGGTGTGTGGGAATGGGATGCTCTGTGACCCAGGTGGTGTGGGCTGAGTCCCGGGAGCCAAAGGGCAGAGGCAGGATCAGCCACGGGATTCCAGCCTTGGTGAGTGACAAAGGTCTGTGGCCGTGGTGGGGGAGGCGGGCAAGGGCGTCCTGGGTATGTCCACTCGGCCGATGGCTGGGCAGCAGCTGAGGCAAGAGGAGGCCAAGGTGGGGTTCAGGCAGGCTGGGGTGGGGACAAGAGCCTGCTTTTTTTGTGCCCATTATCTGGCCAGGTCTTCCGGGGTAAGCTCCACAAAGGCGGGAAAGTCTGTCCCTGTCTAGGACAGTGGCTGGCACACGAGGGCCGTCGGTAAACTCTTGGATGAACCAGGCTCAGAGACACACAGTGCTCAAGGTCACACAGCGAGTCAGTGAGGGAGGGGATGTGAAACCAGGGCCAAGGCTGCAGCGGACAGCAAATCCAAAGAAGTGTTCCACTCAATTCTGGTAAGAAAAATAGGAATTGATGATAAATATTGATTACTGACTGTAGTGGGTTGAATGGTGGCCCCCAAAAAGATATGTTCCTATCCTAATCCTTGGAACCTCTGAATGTGAGCTTATTTGGAAAAAGGATCTTTTCGGATGTAATTAAATTAAGGATGTCGAGATGAGATCATCCTGGATTATCTGAGTGGGCCCTAAATCCAGTGACACATGTCCGTATAGGAGATGGACACTGACGCAGCTGGAAGCTGGGGGCCAGGAGGGTTCTCCCTGCAGCCTCCAGAGGGAGTGCGGCCCCACTAACACCTCGATTTCAGACCTCTGGCCTCCAGAACTGGGGGAAGAGATTTCTTTTGTATTGAGCTACCCAGTTTGTAATAATTTGTAACAGCCCTAGAAAACGAATCAGGTGAGTGAGGTAACCAAATATTCTTAGGCATTTATATTCCTTTAATTCTTGTTCTGGTGTTGGATCATATATAGAAACAGCAATTCACAATACTGATTAATATCTGTTCCTACCTTCACCTCACCCCACTCCAATTAAGATCAAAACCATGCTAAACCACCTACTAACCACACCAATAAAGAGCCTAGATGTTTGGGTCACCAAGTCTTAACTAAAGATAGCCTTCCTGCCTGCCTTCTTTCCTTCCTCCCTTCCTCCCTCCCTCCTTCCCTCCTTCTTTCCCTTCCCTTCCCTTCCGTTCCCTGCCTTCCTTCCCTCCTCCCTCCCTCCCTTCCCCCTCCTTCCTTCATTTCCTCCTTCCTTCCTTCCTTCCTTCCTCCCTTTCTCCTTCCTTCCTTCTTTCTTTCCTTCCTCCCTCCCCTTCCCCCTTCTCCCTTCCCTCCCTTCTTCACTCCTGGCTTCTTTCCTTCCTCCTTCCTTCCTTCATTCCTCCCTTCTTCCTCCTCTTCCTTTTTCTAGTCTTCATCCCTTTCTATTATCCTCCCTCTCTCTCTTTTCTTTCAGTGCTCATGGGTGCTAGGTTTCAGGCTCCTAGCAGGGGACAGTGTGTGTTCTAACCAATCCCAAATGCCAGGAGGAATGGAGACAGACTGTAGAGACACTTTGTAAACCCAGCCTCCAGTGACCATCGCTGTCCCTCCATGCAGCTTATCAAAAGCACGACTCGCACCCCCATGCTGGGCATCCACCCACCTACACCTGCTGACACATGTGGCTTAGCAGAGGAGTTGAAGAGCAGAACTTCTCCACTGGATGTAGCTACAGATGAACCTGATTCTTTATCTCTGTGGCTGGATTTTTGTCACTATGTCTCGGTTAGCAGTTAGCACCTGCTGTCCCTTGCAGGCTTGTTCCTGGGGCGGGAGAAAGATGCTTGCCCTGCACAGTTCTCCATGATGGCGGTGGCAGTGGGAGAGGCACTGCTGTTGACTGTGTTGCTGGTGGGGAGAGGCACGGTGGGTGTCCATGGAGATGGATAAGGTGTCATTATATAGTAGAGGTGACCATGGGAGCAGTGTTGATGTGGAGGTAATGGTCATGGTGGGTGTGAGGGGGAGAGTAATTATGGGTGATGGTGGAGTTGATCATGATGATGGTGATGCTGGTGGTGACAGCAGCAAGGCTTGTGCTTGAGAGTAATTGATGATGGTAGTGGTGGTGGTGATGGTCATGCCAGAGGAGATGGTAACAGCGAGCCTTTGTTGTGGTTGGCAGTGATGGTGCAGGTATGATGAGGAGGTGATGGGAATGGCTCCTAGTGAGCCATTGGTGTGGTTGGCAGTGGTGACAGTAATGGTGATGATGAAGGTGAAGGTGGTGGAGGTAGCAGAGGTTGTATCTTGTTCGGCTATACCACAGTGACAGCTTCCACCTCTCAGTGGCTCACGACAAACATCTAGTTCCCCCCACTTCACTCACTGGTGCCTACAGGCAGCTGCCAGGGCCCCACCTCCCATAGCTTCTCACTGTGGGTCCCAGGCTGGAGAATCAGCTCTGACCTGCACACCCCTCTCTCATGACAGTGCCACTCAGAGACAGCAGGAACTTGGGCTGCCTCTGAAAGCTTCTGTTGGGCCATGATGTGTGGCAGTCTTGCTGCATCCCATGGTCAAGGCCAGTATCCATGGGGCAAAGAATGTTTCCTTCAGGAAGGTTCTGCAAATCTCAGGGCAATAGGAAGAGAGGCCTGAGATTCCCATGGGGAAGAGGGAGTGAGCAGTTCTCCAACATATGCCAGATGCTCAAGATGGGACTGACAGCGGGGCTGGTAACGATGGCTCTGCTGGGAGCAGTGTTGGTGCTGCTGGTGCCGGGGACACCCGTGGTGGTGATGGGATAGGAGGCAGGAATTGTGCTATTAATGGAGGATGGTGGTGAGGGTGGTTGTGGAAGAGGCAATGGTAGAGGGGGGTGCCGAGGGGTGAGAAGGACACAGTGGTGGACATGCTGGTGTGAGTGCCGATGGCGATGGTGATGGCACTGAGGTGTGGGGCTCTGTATTTTCTGTTGCTAACTTGGCATTACACCAACCTCTTCCATGGTCTCCTTGCATCCTGGAGAAATCTGAGGGATTTTCCAGAATCCCATCACCGGTATAATTCCAGACTAGAGCCTGCCAATACAAGGGATTTGGAGAGTGGAAAAGAGAGGCCGTTGCAGGCAGGTGACAATGGTGAGCTTTGCAACAGCTCGGGGCAATCTTCTGCGAAGACCCTGCTTCTGAGCCACAGGCTGAGGCATGGATGGGGAGCTTCCTGGAATACCGTGAGCTCCTCAGCAGCTCCCAGGCAAGCTCTAGAGAGCCGCTCACCTGGGAGCTGCAGGTGAGCATCTCGATTCCTTGTTCCCTGACCGCTGGTCCCAGACTGTTCAGGGTGCAGCGTGTAGTAAATGTCCTCCTCCTTGGTACACATTTGAGGGCTGTGTACTGTGAGGGTGATGGCGGCTCAGATGAAGGTGGTGGTTGTGATGGAGTTGGGTGTGAGGATAGCAGAGAGAAAGCAGATGGTGACATCAGGAAGGCATTGGAGGGGCAGTGGTGGTGGCAGTGATGATGGTGGCAGTCTAATTAGAGGCAGTGGTGGGTCTGGCTGAGGCAGACCCGGTGGTGGTGATGGTGGTGGTAGTAGAGGGGGCAATGACGGTGGTGATGGCAAAGGCGGTGTGAGTGGTTGATACTGGTGGCAGAGCTGATAAGGTGATGTCACAGATGGGATGGTGGGTGGAGATGGAGGTGGAGGAAGTGTGGTGACAGTGATGTGGTGGTGACACAATGCTGACACGGGTGGAGAGCACCGTGGTGACGGTGACAGAGATGATAGTGATAGTGGGGCTGGTGGCAGTGGTAGAGGAGATGGGGATGGGACGCTGGGGTGTTGATGGTGATGGTGACACTGCTGAGGGTGTTGGTGGCCTGACATTGTAAAGGTGAAGCCTGAAGTTTCCATGACGATGGAATCAGGACAGTGGAGGAGGGGTGGTGAAAACAATGTTAAGAGACAAAGGACCTAGTATGATGAGGCATCCAAGAATCCTGTGGCCGCCTCCCCGTCCTGGCCCTCCCTGCCTTGTTGGAGACCCTGGCTCTGGTCTGCGTTGTACTCCCAGGGGAAATTTCTTCCAGCCACTGCCCTGCTCCAACCCTTGTTCCTGGGATGGGTCTGTGGGAGTCAGCCAGGATGGAGACAGGGCTGGAGACCCCCTCACTGCCGCCCATTCAGGGCTGTCTTAGGGCACACAGAACAGACCACTCGGTAGGACTTACGGGAACAGGTGTGTCACCTGGGAGCAGGTCCCACACCTCACCATCAAGGGCATCCTGAGATGGAGGCCCCTGTGGGGAGCTCCCCATGAAGGGAGCTGTGGACCGTGGAGCCGGGCAGTGTGCAGAGGAGTTTCCCTTCTGCAAAGGGTTCAGGCTAGTCTCCTTCCACGCCAGTTTTTGGGGAGCCAGTGGGGAGCATCAGGGGCTCTGAGGCCTCCATAGGGCCTGCTGGAGGGACAGGGACACACAGGCATGAGCGCACACTTAGGCCCCACACGCTCCACCGTCAATTCTGTCAGGCCACCTCCCCTCTTCAAGCCTCTCTGTCCTCATTCACCAGTGGGTGCTTTTGGGGATTTGCCCTCTCTGGGGAGCCAGCCTAGGCTTCCTGGCCTCAGATGTCCCATGTCCCTCATCTCAGGCCCACCCTAAAGCCAACCCCGAGCCATGGCCAGGGAGAGAAGGACCTTCAGCGACCAAGCGAGGCCCAGAGAGGGCAGGGCACACCGAAGGTCACACAGCAGTACCAGGAAGGTCTCCCCCGGGCGAGCTGATGGAGCCGATTAAGCAGCCAATTGGTATTCGGAGCAGCCAGAGGCCCCTCTCTGTCTCTGTAATTAATGGAGTGGCTTTTTAAAAGGATTCTAATCACCCCCGATCCTATCTGCTTATCACTAGAGTTCCTAATTAGATGATCCTGGCAGTCACTCAGCTAATTCCCTCCAGCCCCCTGCAGGCCTGCCTGGCCTGGGCAGCCCACCCCACCCCCGGCCACCCTGGCCCGGCCAGATGGGCAGTTTGGGGCCTTCTCTCCCCTCAGGGCCCCTGGTCCTCTAACTGCATTAGCTCCAGGATGGATGGGCGACAGCGATGGATGGATGGACGGGCGGCTGGATGGACAGAGTGGCAGGCGAATGAAGGGGCTGAACGGTGGGCAGTCACAGAGTGGATGGGCGGATGGACAGACAGACGGGCCAAGGGGCAGATCCCACAGTGGGGAAGAGCTCAGCCTGTCAGGTGACACAGCCTGGGTTCCAACCCCAGCACTGCCACTCCCCAGCCATGTGTCCTTGGGGAAGTCAATAACCTGGCTGTGCCCCAGTGTCCTCATCTCATCTGTAAAAGGGAAGTAATGATGGTCCCCTCTCACAGGGTTACTGTGAGGAGCTCAGAATGGAGAAGGAGCTGTGTGTGCGTGTGCTGGCATCCTGGCAGTGTCGATAATGGGTGGGCAGAGACAGATGAAAGGGCAGCCTGCCTGGTGAGCCAGTGGAAGCCATGGTAGGCAGACAGGCCCATGGCAGGCTTACATGCAGATTGGTGGCCCATGGGGTGGGAAGGCGGTGGGCTACGCAACCGTAGAAGGGCCAGTGAGCTCACGTCCTCCCCAGTGGTGCCAGGGCGATCTCAGCTCTGCTCTCAGACCTCTTCAGGCAGCCTTCCTGCCCAGTCCTCCAAGCCAGTGATGACAGGTGCCCACTGGGTTGCCCAGATCCCTTCCCTGCCATCCCAACCCAGGTACATCCTTCCTGGTGGTGGCTCATGTGGTCTCTGGAGGCTCAGATCTAGCCCCAAGTAGGGGTTTACTGCCTGAGTGAAGGCATCATTTGCGGGGCCCTCTGAGTTCCAAGTTGCTTCAGCCAGTTAGGGCAGCTCCCCTCCTCCAGGGTCCCAGCACCCAGCCCCCCTGGCATACAGCAACCCTAGGCAGGGCTGTTACCCTGAGTTCCTCAGTTACTCGAAGCCTCCAGGAGGATCCAACCCCCAGAGCCTCTCCATTCACCCACGGGGCTCTGCAGTTTCCGGGGTGTGGCATTTCCGGGGTCTTTCTGGAAACAGTATAGAACAAAAAAGCCTGAAGTATCTTCCAGAGTAAAGGCGTGCATGCGTATGCACACATCTGTACCAGCAGATAGCCACCCATCTCCCCATACACACACCCATCAATCCACCCACCTAGCCACACACATACCCAGCTACCCACACACCCAGCCACTCACATACCCAGCCACTCACCCACCCAGCCACCCACATGCCTAGCCACCCACCCACCCAGCCACCCACACACCCAGCCACCCACCCACCCAGCCAGCCACTCACCCACCCAGCCACCCACACAGCCAGCCACCCAGCCACTCATACACCCAGCCACCCAGCCACCCACCCACCCAGCCACCCAGCCACCCATACACCCAGCCACCCAGCCACCCAGCCACCCATACACCCAGCCACCCAGCCACCCACACACCCAGCCATTCACACACCCAGCCACCCCCCCACCCAGCCACATGCACACCCAGCCACCCAGCCACCCACACACCCAGCCATTTGCACACCCAGCCACCCACACACCCAGCCACCCAGCCACCCACACACCCAGCCACCCACACACGTTTCCTGAGCAGTTGTCCATACACGTGCCGTGTACCAGGCACTCCCCTGGGTCTGGGGTCCATATGTCAGTGAAGGCACCAGACAAAGCCTTGCCCTTATGATGCTGACATGCAGTTGGGGAGATAGGAGAAACTGATAATGCATGAACATTTAACATGATGGCAGGTGTCATAGATGCCGTGAGAGAAAACAAAGCAAGACGGGGGCTTACAGGAAGCTGGGGCTCTTAGGGAGGTCAGATTGGGTGCCCCACACTTCCACAGGTATGCTCAGGCACCCACGCCCCCATGCATGTGAGCACGCCTGTACACATGGTCACACATGTGCACACAGGCCCTCCATGAGGCCTGTAGCCCTGCTGTGTTTCCAAAAGCATGGGCCCTGCCGTCCCTCACCGGGAGGTCTGGCTGCCTCGTGCCTCTCTCAGCCTGGGCCCTCCCATCACCCAAGCCAGGCCTGCTCCCTGGAGTCCAGGGCACATCTGGGTCTTACTAGGTCTGCTAGCAAAGGGCCTGGGCGGCTCCTATGCGGCCAACAATTCAGATTCACAATTCTTCCCTGCACTGGTCTGAGTGGGGGCTGGAAACAGTTGAATTCAGCAGCATCACCCCTGTCCTCCCACGCAGGGAACTCCCAACCCCAGGCTCTGGGGAAGGAGCAGACACACACCAATGTGCGAATGCAGCTGCAACACTCGCTGGAAGGAGAGGTGACACTGTCTGGGGCGTCTGGGAAGGCTGGTCAGAAGAGGTGACGCCTTGGCAGGGCTTGGAGAGGGAGGTTCCAGCAGGGTCGGCCTCACACACATGAAGGGTCTTGGATGTCGACACTGGACATCCTTCCCCAGGGAGGTAGTTCATTCAGTCATGGAACATTTCAAGGTGGGAAGAAGGTGTTCATCACATGGCTATGATCATGTACCCATTGCAGACCACCCTGTCCTGGGGGCATGAGGAGTTCATCTCCTAAATCAGTGGTTCTCAACAGGGACAGTCCTCCCTCCCCAGGGGACATTTGGCAATGACTGGAGGAGTTGCTACTGGCATCTCCTGGGTGGAGGCCAGGCAGGGCTGCTGCTGAACATCCCTGTCTAGTGCACAGGACAGCCTCCACCACAAAGAATCATCCAGCCCCAAATGTCAACAGCACCGAGGTTGAGAACTCTGTTCTAAGCCCTGAAATTATCATTTGACAAGCGCAATTATAATGCAATGTCTTTTTGATGCACCAAAGGCATTAATGTCTTCAATGTGAATATTTAAAACACACAGGTGACCTGTTTGGTGATTTATTTCTTAATAAAGCAGGAGCCTTGTAACATGGGAGTGGTTCCATGCAAAGGGAACAGCATGCACCAGGCTCAGTGGCTCAGTGGAAAGAGAGCAGGCATCTGTAGTTGACTACACCTGGGACCGAAGGGATGGTGGGAATAGAGCCCAGAGAGGGGCAGGGGCTGCACAAGGCAGGGCTCAGACCCCAGACCACAGAGCATGGATTGTGTCCTGGGAGGGGGAGACCTTGAGAAGATTTAAACAAGGGGAGAATGGGATCTATAGCATACTCTAGAAAGATCCCTCAGCAGCAATGAGATTCAGTTTTATACCCACAAAATTGGTAAAAATGTCAGTTTGACACTGCCAAGTGTTGGCAAGGAAATGGAGCAACTGAAATTCCCACACCCTGCTGGTGGGAACATACATTGGAACAGCCAATTTGGAAAATCCTTCTAAGGCTTATGCCCCGAGGGAAACCCTCACACGTGGGAATAGGGACAAGAACACTCATTGCTGCACTGTTTATGGTAGCAACAGACAGGAGTGACCGAAATGTCCATCTTAAGGAGAATGAGCAAATACCTTGTGTTACAGCTGCACAGGGGACTATGACACTGCAGTGAGAACGAAGAAACCGACTCCATACGTGAGCATGGAGGAGCAGCCCCAGCATGGCAGTGAGCAGCACAAACCAGTCATTGAAAGCATCATTGTGACACCATTTATTGAAAACGTACACACATGCAGAATAATGCGTTAAGGATTTATACATATAGAGTAAAAGTATAACAACATGCATGGGAAAATGAAGTCCTGGCTACTTCTGGAGGCGGGCAAAGGGGACAACAAGGTCAAGAGAGTTCCATGATATCTGTAGTGTTTCCCTCCTTAAGCTGGGCTGGGGAGGGTATCAGAGGGACTTGACGCTGCCTCCACTCTCCTAACTCCTGGAGCTTGTGCCCTGGAGAGTGAGCAGGAACGTGACCTGCATGCAGCCAATAGCATACGCAAAGCAGGGGAATACTATCGGGGCCGCGCTTCACCAGCTCTCTTGACGCCTCCGTCAGCTGCGCACTGTGCAGGAGTGAGCTGCCGAGACTCCTGCAGCTGCAGGGAGGTGAGCTCTGCCAGTAACCTGGGGGGTGCTGAGATGCAGATCCTTTCCTAGTTGAGCCTCTGATGAGAAGCCAGCCCAGGTCAGCAGGTGGACTGCAGCCTAGTGAGGGCCTGGGCAGAGGCCGTGGCTGAGCTATGCCTGGGATCCTGGCCCATGGAAACCGTGAGATACTAAACACGTGTGGTTTCAAGGGGCTAGGTGTGTGGCAGTTTGTGATACAGCATAGAAAATCAATGCCAAGGCTACCATGGTGTTGCTTATATTATTAGCTATATTTTTAGATAACTGAAATATTCATAATTAAGAGGTTAAGAAGAGCCCCTGTGGTGGCCTCACCTTCAGGAAGAAGAGACAGAGTGCAGGGCGTGAGCCTGGAGGCTGGGAGGCCCAGGAGGAGGCTGGCACAAAGGAGAGGGGACAGGCCATGCAGTCCAAGGTGAGGAAGCAGTATGGGCTGGTGTCAGGGCTGGTGGTGTGTGTTTGTGTGTGTGTGTGTGTGTGTGTGTGTGTAGAAAGTCCCCTTCATCCCTAGATTCTGAGGAAAGGGAGGGGCCCATGCCAACATCCCCTCAAAGTCTGGGAAACTTGGATCCCAGCCTCATAGCGTCAGAACATCAGAACAGCCAGACCTGGCAGGGGAGGGGCCAGGGAGAAGGAGCAGAGGCAGTATTTTCCCAGGGTCCCCTGGGGAGCCTGGCAGTGTGGACTGGGGGTGGGGCCGAGGAGGACAGATGGGGCTGTGGGAGGGAGCAGCTGCCACTCTCCTCTCCAGGGATGCCCGTTCCCCAACTCCAGCCCGCATACCAGTGGGAGAGATCGTGAGACCCTCCCCCTATCCTTGCTCCCACCAGTCCTCAGTTTCCCTAGTGATACTGGAGAGACGATCTGTGAGGACCCCCCCTGAGTTGGGTGGGATAGAGAAAGACATGAGAACACCTACAAATAGCCTAGGGCACCCCGCTGGCACTCCCACCGGCCCTGGCAGCCTTTGGTTCTGTGGGAGAAGGAGAAACAGAATGGGCAGGCCGTTTGCCCAGGGTCCCCAAACACCCTGGTCTTCTAAGATTGGAGGTGGGTTTGGGGGCTCAGTCTGAAGCCCATTGGGCTACCCAGGATAAGCCTAGAGTGGAGGAATAAAATGGCATTAGAAGGGTCTCCTTGCTGGCTGGCCTCTCCAAGACCTTCCATCTTCCTTGTATGATCCTTCCAACAATGCTGCAAGATGTGGTCTTGTTTGACTGATGAGGAGCCGGGGTTCAGAGAGCCCAAGCCACTTGCTCGAAGCTGCACAGCAAGGGGGAGTCAGGTCTGTCCTTCGGACGGGTCTTTATCCTGAGTAACCTTGGTTAGGGACCAGGGAGGCCCTGAAGGGCCCCAGGGAAAGAACTCAGATAAAGCTTCCCTAGGATCCTTGATCAGGGTTTTGAAGCATGAAGAAAATTCTCCAGGCTTATCTGAAGGACAGAACATCCCAGGGAGAGAGACCAGCTAGGAACAAGGCAGAGAAGACAGGTTTTTGTGAATGACTATGTTTTAAATTACACAAGTGGCATATACTCAGAACATATCAAAACAACAGCCCACAGTTATAAAGGGAAAAGTGCCCCCTCCGCACCCCGGGTCTACAGCACACTTCTCAGAACTAACAATTATCATCATCCAGGTACATGTCTCCCCAGGTGTTTTTCAATCTCTACACAAATATTTTAAAAACAAAAACAGAGTCCGCTTTACAGGTTGTTTTCCAGCTTGCTTATTTTCACGTATCCTAGTGTTTCTGTGAGATGTACGGGAAGAGGCTCGCTGGGCCAGAGAGCATGCAAAACCTAGATCATTTCTGCCCATACAGGCATCTCCAGGCTGCTTCTCCACACCTGCCCAGTCTTTCCCGTTTCTGCTGAGAGGGGGAAGTGGTGTCCCATGTGGAATGGGCATGGATCTGATCATTTGTGAGACTCAGCGCCCATCGGGATGTCTGGTGGCTGTGGATTCACACTGCTATTGGGGATGACCTCTTGTATATCCTTCTGCCTGTTTCCTTCCACAGCTTGTTATGTGAATCTCCTAATTTGAAATCATTTGCAACTCATTCACACTTTGTAAAGCCTCATGCTGCCCACACACACTTGCCTGCAGCCTGGACAGAGCAGTCAGTGTTCACCAAGTGAGATGCTAACCAGCTAGTTGTTCCAACACCACTGGATTGGGTAACCCTCCACCTTTGCATTGATTCAGGACACCTCCTTTATCACCCATTATCTTGTAAATAATAGGGTCTGTTGCGGGTTTACTGAGTCTGTACCATTGATCTGTTTATTCTTACAGCAGAACCACAGGGTTTGAACGACTGTGATAATAGAATCTTGTTTAATATCAGAAAGCATTTATCTCTCTCTCTCTCTCTCTCACACACACACACACACACACACACACACACACACACCTCGCTTTATTTTTCCTAATTTTTGACTTCTTCTGCTGATCTTATTAGTTTTTCCAGATAAAGTTTGGAATCATTTGTCATTTTGCCTTTAAAAAAAACCCAGCAGAGTTTTGATCGAACCATCCTGTATGATAACTCATCTAGGATCTACCCACCTCCTCTCCTGCTGCCCCTCATCTTTCCCGCTGCTCGGGTGATCCTGTCCCTGTGTCAAGCGGATGGCAGGCATTCCCCAAGGGCAGTGTCCATTTCTGTGGCCCTGAGGGCCCTTCCGCATCCTAGTACTGGGTCACCGGGGGGCAGGAGGTGCTGTGGGGAAGAACAGCACTGCTCCCTAAGAGTTGCAGAGGGCACTTGGTTTCTTCCTACAAATGGGTGTGAAAGCCAGGCCTGGAAGTGTCCCTGTGCAAGGCAGGGAAGAAGGGGCCGGGCAAGCCGAGCTGAGTCCATGGCCGGCAGCCCCACCGGGGTGCAAACAGAGGGAAGAAGGCCGACCCCCCTGACCACCCTGGTACCAGGCCCTGGGGAATCATCAAGGCCACCCTGACCCACTCAAGACGGCCACTTGCAGCTCCTGGCCTGCCTGCCTGGCCATGCCTGGGCACTTTGTGGCCACAAAATTCAAACTGTTTACCATACACAGTGACTCGAGGAGGCAGGAGTCACTGTTAGAAGTGAATTGTTTTATGAAGGAGGGAAGAGAAGCTGTAAACTGTAACCCCTGAGCCTCGGTTCTTTGCTCTGAAGTGACTTGCTGGGACTTGAATCTGAGGCTTTCACCCCCATCTCTACTCAACACCACCCCCCAGCCTCCCCCAGCTCTGGCTGCTGCCTCCTTGTGAGAAACAGGCCCTGCAATTCGGGTGCGGTGGCTCACGCCTGTAATCCCAGCACTTTAGGAGGCCAAGGCAGGTGGTTCACTTGAGCCCAGGAGTTTGAGACCAGCTGGGGCAACATAGTAAGATCCTGTCTCTACAAAAAAACAAAATTCTTTTTTTAATTAGCTGGGCATGAAGGTACGCACCTATAGTCCTAGCTATGTGGGAGGATGGCTTGAGCCCAGAAATTTGAGGCTGCAGTGAGCTATGATAGCACGTCTGCACTCCAGCCTGGGTGACAGAGTGAGACCCTGTCTCCAAAAAGGAAGAAAGAAAAAAGAAACAGCTCCTGCTTTCCGAGAGTTTCCTGGTAATGAGTAGAGAGAGCTTGTCATAGGATCAAGAGTCTCTGTGTGTGTTATTCCCCACCCAACACCAAGAACAAACGAGGCTGGTGAACATTTGTGGGAAAGTGAATAGATCTAGTCTACAGAGGACTGGGGAGCACCTAACACCACCCACTGGGGGCACAGGGGACACAAGAGTGACCAGACACAGCCCCTGCTCTCTTGCAACTGACGTCACGGGACGAGGGGATCCTCTCTGATTGTTTCTGCTGGCTAGCCACCTCCCAGCACTCATGACAGCACCTGGCACTGTGTGCTCCAAAAATGCTGGTTGACAGGAGGAAGGAAATAAGCCGGGGGCACAACAGAGAAACAAGGAGGCCTCTTTTGGTGGCTATTCTGGGTTATGGGTCTGGATTCTGGCCTTTAAGTCCTGAGCCAAGTTCTAGGTTCGGATATGGGGTTCTAGGTTCTGGGACCTAGATTCTAGGCCCAAGGCTGCATGTCCTTAATGCTGAGTTATGGGTTCTGAGCTCCAAGCTCTACGTTGTAGATTTGGGGTTCCACATTCAGGGCCCCAGATTCTGGGCTTTGTGTTCTGAGAACTCGATTCTGAGGTCTGGGCTCTGGGCCCCCGTCTTAGAGGTCTTTGTAAGTTCTGAGCTCTCAGCCCCAAGCTGCAGGTTCTGGGTTGAAGGGTCCATGCCCTGGGCTGTATGTTTTGGGCTCTGGTTCCTGAGTTCTGGGGCCTAGAGCTATGGTTCCTGGTTTGGGGATCTAGGCTGCAGGTTCTCGACTCTAAGCTCTGCAGTCCAGGGCTGGCTCTGGGTTCTGGACTTTGGGCCAAGCAAGTAGGATGGTTCACCAGAGGCCAAGCAGAGTTATTATTTATGCTTCATGCCTGGAATGTAAGCTCCTTGAGGACAGATTCTTGTTTGTTTTATTCCCTGCTGTTGCCCCATGCCTACAGCAGTGCGTGGCATACAGGTGATGTTCAACAGGCTGTGCACACGTAAACACCTGATCGCAGAAACACACAGTCCTGCCGTCACTATCCAGGGGCATAGGAGACAGAGCCAACCCTGCCCTCACTGTGGCAACAGCTGGCAAGAGGAGAGGAGGCCTCCTGCTCTGGGGTTGTAGGGGGTGGAGGCCAGGGGGACCTAGGGCCACTATGCATCAGGTAGGAGGCACGTGCCTACCCTGCCAAGCCCCAGGCTGGCTCCTTTCTGTACTCAGTGTCAACTTCACAGGGAAGGACAAGAGGGGGTACCAGTGGCACACCAGGGCAGAGTCTGGAGGTCAGAGTCTATCCTGATGGGCTGGGGCAGCTGGGACAAGGTGCTGAACTTCCTGGTACTTTGGCCCACCCAGCTCTAAGCGAGAGACCTCCCAGTGTCAGCAGCCTGGTATTGGGAAGAGTTAAAGGAAAATCTCCTGGACCAGGTGGACATCAGGGCTGTCAAGGAACAAGGATGGTGGCAATCAGAAATACCCAGTCCTCAGGGCCCCTGGTGAATAAAGATCCTGGTGGTCAAAGATGATGACAACTAAGGTGAAGAGAAGCCATGGCTGACCAGGGACATACAATCAGAGTGATTTTTAATTAGGGACGGTGAAGTCAGCCAGAGATGATGTCCATCAGACACAACCTGGTCAGGGAGGGGTGTGTTACATGCTGGCCATCAGGAGCCAGTGTTCAGGGGTCTTGGCAACCAGAATTATCATTGAACAAATATGTCATCAATCATTGATCAGGGGGCATGGGTGGCTTCGGCTGTGAATGACCGGGAGCATTAGTGGGGAAAGTATTGGGTGTCCATGTCCTTGGTGGCCAAAGGTATACGAGATATTAGTGACCAGATTCAATGACTGGAGACATGGGGTCCAGAGATCTTGGTGAAGAGAACCAAATGCAGACCATCAGGGATCAAGGGCACTAGTGAGCAGAGACATCAATGATTAGAGAATTTGGTGATCAGAGACATTGGTGACTGGGTATTCTGATGACCAGGGATATCAATGACCAGGGAGGTCAGTGATCAGAGGTATAAGGGACTTTGGAAAACGGGAACATTGGTCAGCAGAGACTTTGAAGACGATTCAGCAATCACTGATGTTGGGCATCAGAGACATTGGTGATAAGAGATCTTGATGATCAGTGTTGAGCAATCAGGGGTATTGAGAACCAGAAACACCAGTGACTACATTGATAGGAAATATGATGGGGAGAGGATCCTATGATCAGGGACATTGGTCATCAGGCACATTGCTAGTTAGAAGTAATGGTGATCAGAAACAACTGACCAAGGACATTGTTAAAGAAACACTGGTGATAAGAAACAGTGTGATCAGAGATGCTGGAGATTACATGTGAGTGATTGGTCTATCACCAGAAAAAACACTTATCAATTACATTGGTGGTCATACTTATTGATGCCCTAGAACATTAGTGACAAAGCGCATTGGCGATCAACACATTGGTGAGAAGAGATACTATGATCAGGCATACTACTGGTGAGCAAAGATGGTCACTAGAGACATTCGTGATCACATTTTGTGGGTGTCAGTGATCAAACTCATGGTTAAGCAGAGGCATGGATGAAATATTGGTGATCAGTTGTTAGTCATCAGGTGTCTCTGATGGCAGGCTCTCATGATCAGACATGTCATTGATCTGGAATATCAGTCATGGTGCCTATCATTGATGACCAACATCACTGATCAAAGATGACAGCAATCAATGACATCAGTGATCACAGACACTGCTGGTCAAGTTTGCCAATGAACAGGAATATTGATGACCAAATATCTCAGAAACCAGAGCTGAGAGAAAGTTCAGCACCTGGAAGGAAGCAAATGGAGATGGGGTTTGCAGGAGCCTCGTTGAGCCCTCAGGGGTGGACCACAGGCTGGAGAAACCACGGCCTCCCTGCACCTCCCCAGTATCTTCCCATTCACTAGGACCCCTGGTGCAGTGACAGGAAATCCAGATGGGAGCAGTTCAGGGGAGGAGCCTCGGGACGTCAGTGGCAAAATCAGACCCAGGCCCAACAGAGGCCCCATCCTGGATTCCAGGGGCTTTCCCCTCGCAGCCACCCCGGCGACAAAAGCAATGCAATCTGGCTGCCCAAATTCACACCCGGGACCCAGCACCCTGGGAGCCCACAAGACAGGCCAGGGGCATTCACAAAAAGTATTTTATTATTCTTAACAGTACTCACTTTAAAGGAATAAGAGGATAGCATACATTTTTTACAGACAATATATAAATGTTGTACATAATTAACAATAACTTAGTTCACTAATCCAAAATAAAACAAGCCAAATAAAACATAAAAACAGAAAATACTGCCGATTCTTTTTCTTATGCGGACACTAGTACAAAATAAGTTACTTCTGGCCGTGGTGCTCCCTGCAGCGACTGCCCGCCCATATTGCACTTGGTCACTACATCAGCACAATCCTCCTCCTGGGCCAGGGGCCCCTCACAGGCCACCACACCCCGCCGTCACCGCATACAGAATCTAAGCTCGGGACACGTTTATATACAGCTGTACCTTGGGAAGGATCCAGACAGCCACAGTAAAGCTGGACCTGAGACCCCAGCAGGGACACAGCCTCTCCCTGGGTCCTGGTCCTGACCTGCCCCCAACTCCTGCCTTCACCCCCTGCCAGGCCAGCAAATGCCAACCAGCCCCCAGAAACCAAGGGCAGCAAAGGCCCCTCCCCACCCCCAGCTTTCATACTAGGGCTGTGGGATCCCAGCTCTTTTCCAAAAAGAATTGCAAAGCTCCAACCTTGTGTGTAGGTTTTATTCCTTTCATAGCAGGGCTCCTGTGGCTACGTACAATCAACTGGACCCAAAAAGAGTTTAAAAATAAAACAATTAACTCATCAGCGAGTTAAGCCTATGCATTTTTTTAATATTTTTTCTTTTGTCTCAGAGTAGGAGGCGAGGGGGTTGAAGGGTTAGCAGAAAAAGGATGTATTTACAGGGTCCACCTGACAAGACAGGCTGTGGCTTGCGCTCAGTAAGGGGACACAGTCACAGCAGCTTCGGCCTCAAAGCCAAGGGAGCGATCTGGGAGACGTTTCCCCTTTCAAGAAAATGTTGTTTCCTTCCTGTGACCCAGCCCTGGCCTGGGAATCTGTGCAGGACCGCCCGTGATTGTCTCTGCCCTCCAGGGCCTGGCCCGTCAAAGCAGGCACCAGCTCACCCTCCCTGGGCCGTGGCCACTCTGGCTTTGGCTCAGCCCAGCCTGGAGTTCGGCTATTTCAGAGAGGGAAGCCAGAGGAGAAGAGGGTGCAGGCTGAGGTCCCCACAAATCTGCCCCCAGAGCCCTGGCAAGTGGACCCGCCAATCCCGAGGAAGAACCGGAGGACTTGGGACAGCTCAGACCACCAAGTCTCCAAGTCCTTGTTAGAAACAAGAGCAAAATAAATTATTTTTGCCTAATCCTTTTTCCTTCTAAAAATGGTTGCCTTCGTCTGTCCCGTCCCCTCCTTTTCTCTACATAAAGTTGTCCTTGTTGTTCTCCAAACAACTGTCCATGCAGGAAACCCCACCTGGGCAGCGGTCAGGTGCGGAGGCAGCCTCTCAGCGGTGGGGAACATTCACAGTAACTGCTGGCAGGCTGCTGGGCGCCCTCCAGGAGAGGGGGTGCTGGGCCGAGCCGGGCTGGCAGGAGTGGTGTCGGCCTTCGGGAAATGCTGGGCTGCTAAGGGTTTGGTCCACCCATCCCGGGAGTGCCCGGTCCTCGACGTCCATCTGTTCCCTAGCCCATGGCGGTCACCATGCTGGACGGGTGGGGGTGGCCGAAGGAGAGGCTGGAGGAGGGGTGGATGGGCGTCGGAGTGGGCAGGATGTGTCCGGAGTGGCTGAAGGGCGGGAGGTGGCCCACAGGTGCCATGTGTCCAGCCAGGGCAGCTGCACTGAAGGGGGATGACTTCTCCTGCATGCACTTTGACAGCTCCTCGAAGCACTCCGCCCCTTTCTTGCTCTTCTTGGACTTGTTGGACATCTTCCGGTTCCGAGTCTGGATCCCTTCCTTCTTCATGGTCAGTGGCCTGTTAACCTAGAGGCAACCACCAGTTTTCAGAGGGCCAGTTCCTTCCTC
The DNA here is from genome assembly GCF_000001405.40 of Homo sapiens. NCBI lineage: Eukaryota > Metazoa > Chordata > Mammalia > Primates > Hominidae > Homo > Homo sapiens. The sequence goes on from NC_000003.12 coordinate 128,481,361, forward strand.
CAGCAACATTCCTCCCACCCCGCCACAGCGTGGACCAGAGGCAGGTCAAGCTGAGGGTCCCAGGAAGCCAGGAATTGTGCCCGACCTTCATAGTCCCATCACCAGATGGCTACCATTCCAGGAAGGGCGGGTTCTGGCATATGGGGCTGACCCACACCCTCCCTGGCTCTGCCCACCGCATGCCAGCACTGCCCAGCCAACTGAAGTCCTCCCCCCCACCCTGACCCTTTTTAAGCAGAGAAACCACTTCCCTAGTCCGAGACCCTGTCCTAGCCAGCTCCACCTCCTGAGCAGAGGCAAGGCACCCCTCTTACGGGAAGCCCTTCTGGCGCTCACTCAGGGCAGCAGCTTCCCAAGCCAAGCCAAGCTGGATATTGTGGCTGGGGCCTCTTGCCTGGCAGCACAAAGCGCAGAGGTCCCCTGGGAGGGGCGGGGTGGCCGGGGCGGGGCGCACTCACATTGTGCAGCTTGTAGTAGAGGCCACAGGCGTTGCAGACAGGGTCCCCGTTGGCGTTTCGGCGCCATAAGGTGGTGGTTGTCGTCTGACAATTTGCACAACAGGTGCCGGCTCTTCTGGCGGCCGACTGGGAGGGCAAGGCAGCGTCAGCAGGCTGGACTCCCACGCCCACCTCGACCCCCCTCCCTGACCCTCGCTCCACCCCCAGTCCCCACCAGCTCAGTCAAGGAGGGCTAAATCTCACATGGGAATCAAAGCATCTCAGAACCATGGAATTTTAGAATTTGAGAACGAAATAAGTCAAGACTCACAGAACTTTGGAATAAAGAACTCTCAGAAGCCTGATGTTAGAATCAACGGGATTGCAAGAGCTACAGAGGAGAATTAGCTACCTCCCCCAACTACCCTGCGCTCTAACTCCATAAATGGGGAAACTGAGGCCCTGAGAAGGGCTCTCTAGTAGCACAGGCATCCTGAGGCTGAGCCGGCTTGGTCCCCCTCGAGCCCCTGGATCTGGGGCCGATTCTGTGTCTCCTCTAGCACGACTCCGCTCAAAATCCATAATCCTGGGTGAGTCAGTGTCGCTGAGGCCAGCGCAGGTTTACAGAGTGCAGAGCTGCACCGTCCAACACTGTAGCAGCTGGCCACAGGCAGCCATTTAAATAAGATCTAACTACAAATTAACAAAATTAAAAACCCAGTTCCCTCAATTGCACGAGCCACATTTCAAGTGATCAATATTCACATGTGGCCAGGGGCTACCACAGTGGGCAGTGCAGACACAGAACTTTTCCATCTCTCCAGCTGATGTGAGTGCTGATCCCCCCCATCCAGCCCCCCATACCCCAACCCTTAGAGCTTTAACCACCCCGCAGCCCCTCTGAGTCCTAGTCCCTCAGGAAATGCCTGGCAGAGGTAGGGTCTGGAAATGAGCGCCTGGTCCTTGCAGAGAGAAGCTAGAGGGAGGCTTTACCCAAGAAAACAGATCCCCTCTCCCGGTTCCACCAACGCCAGCCCCACAGTGACAGAGGGGGTCCCCCAACACTTCCCAGAGAACTGCAGGCGGGAGTGCACCAGGTGGTGAGTGTGGGGGGCTGGGGGCTGAGGCCTGCAGAGCCTGGAACAGCCCCAGGCCCAAGCCTGGTCACAGAAGGGACAGAGGGACTGCAGCCGCGGGGGCAGGGAGGGGTGAGTAAGCAGCCTGAAGCTGGAATTCTGACTCAGGGGCCAACGCCGCGTCCTCCACCTCTACCCCCACCCGGGCCTCACCCCGCCCTCGCTCCAGGGGAAAAAAAGGCCCCCAAAGCAGGGAACGATTTAAGCCTCATAAATCACTTCGCCCTGAAAAAATATATTTATTATTCTTAGCATTTTACGCATTATTTGCAGAGTGGAGGGTATTAGAAATTTCAAAACAGCCCAGCGAGAGGCAGGACTGAGCTGAGGAGACTCTAAAAACTCGCAGAGTCCGGAAACAGATACACGAAGTTTCCTTATCTTCAGGCTGCAGATGTCCGGATAGGAAACTCCGGCAGGAGATCCGAAAGGGCATTTTTTTAAAATCACTCAAATGAAAATACACAGTATAGGTGACTCCATGGAAAAATAATAAAGGGCAGGTTTTTTTAGTGGCCGGTGTGAGTTTGTGTTTTATTTAAATAAGCACGAGGAGCTTGTGAGCGGGGCTGTCGGGGAGGGCTGAGCCACAAGGAAAAGTACTTCATGGCCCTATTTTTAAAAAAGAGCTAAGCAGAGGCCAGAGGACAGGAGTCCGGCCCGTGGACACTCAACTTCGGGGATCCCGGAGCAGAGTGGGGTGGCGCAAGGGTGCCCGGTGGGCTCCCTATACCCGAGGAGGAAATCTGGCCCGAAAGAATCTGGCCAGAAAGAGAGACGACCCCAACTGACATCCCAGTGCTTTTCATGATAAAAGAGGATTTCAAGCGGCAAAGCGTCTGCATTTGAAGGAGTTTTTTTCCCCTGTAATTAACCGCCAGCTCCTGCCCAGCAGCCCCCTCCCAGCCACCTGTGCCCGCTCCTACCAGTCTTCGCTTGGGCTTGATGAGTGGTCGGTTCTGCCCATTCATCTTGTGGTAGAGGCCACAGGCATTGCACAGGTAGTGGCCGGTGCCGTCCCGCCGCCAGAGAGGGGTGGCTGTGGCCCCACAGTTGACACACTCCCGGCCTTCTGCAGGGGAACAGGGAGAGACACGGGGGCCTGCTTAACCGGCAAGTTCTCGGGAGGGAGTCCAGGGCAGGAAAGCAGCCAGCCGAGCAGTGCCGGTGCCTCTCAGGCACACGGTTGGCCTGGGCCTGGCTGCAACAGCCTGGGCAGGAAGAGGGACGAGAGGGTCTCCCACATGGGAGGGGGCACAGGTCCAGAGTCGTTTAAAGCCAAATCCCCTGCTTCCAATCCTCACCAGGAGGGATGGAAACGAAGGAGGAGGGGAGGAGGGGCCCAGGGCCCCAGGCGTTCTGGAGCAACCAGGAGGGTATTTACTGCAAACTTTGCCGAGGGTAGGGTGGTGGCAGGAGTCACCCAGCTCAACCTGGCTGGGCCCAGGAGGCTCTCTCCTTCCCGCTCTGGCGCGTCTCTCCCCCTCTCCTCTTTTGTCCCTCTCCTTTCTACCCAACTGTGTCTGCCCCACCCCGTCTTTCTGCTCTAAGTCCAGAAGCATTTCCCTCTTTCTCCCCAACTTTTCTCCTCTTCCACCAAAGCTCTAGAATTTTTCTGAGTCCTGGAAATAATGGATCGAAGTTGTTGTTCTTTAAAATAAAATAAATAATAAGCTCTTTCTTTTTTAGATAAGTGGCCTGGGTTTTTTTTGTTTGTATTTTTTTTTTCAATTAAAAGACCATCTGGAATTCAAATAAAATGCAAAACAAACAGGAGAAAGGACCAAGAAAAGGCAAGCTGACGGGTCTGAGCAGAACTAGGACCCTGAGCCGGGGCTCAGCGGGTGCTGGGGCCAGCGGGGGCTGGGGCTGGGGACCAAGTTGAGCAGGATCACTGGCTGGCATCGTGTTCCCCAGGAAGTTATTCTTGATTTAGTTTAAACTAAATGAGGAGTACAGCCTGGCAAGAGAAGGTGGTTCCTGCACTCAGGAGTAACTGTTTTAAAAACCTTCCCCCTCTGTGGCTCAAAGGGATTCGGGAAAGAGACATGGACAGCAAGAACTCCACACTAGCCACGAGTTTCTGGGTTTATGCTCTGTGGCCAGATTCTTGGACAAACCCAGTTTGGCCCCAGCCAGCTGCGGGAAAAGGGGCGGGGGCACTGCAGCTTCATCCCCTCACTCCAGCCCTCAGGGAGGGAGAGGGAAGGGCCTGGCGAGGGCAGGGAGCAGGAGCAGGTCCTGGGAATTTTGCTCTGGGGAAAATCTCCCGAGGAGATCAGGGAGCCATCGAAATCCCAAGATCAGACTGATTGAGTTAGAGACCCAGATTCCTTAATGGTCTGGAACCTCCGGAGTGCCTGAAACATGCACACACAACATGCACACAGACACACGTATACACATGCACACACGCTCCCAAACACATGCACATACAGAGTCACTTCCCTCGCTTCACATACTAAGTCCTGAGGTGGCTTGAATTTTCACTTAAGATTCAGGGAGGGAAAGGGGGAATTCCTGTTCTATGTTCTGGTCAGGCAGTGACCAACCCTGGGGCAAGGAACTGAACTTTGGGGGTACACTGGAAGCACTTAAGAAAATGGCAAAAGTTTTAGAGTCTCCTCTCCCTGACCCGGGGGTCTCAAACATCTGCTGGGGGCTATTAGAGCGAGACATCACCCATCCCCAGATCTGGGAAACCAACACTGCCACCTCTCCCAAGTCACAGCTCCCCACCACAAAAACGCAAATGCTCCCCTCTTCCACGAAGTCCCCAGCACCTGCCTTTACCTGAACAGGAACGAGCCTTGCTGCGCTGCTTAGGGGTGAAGCTGGAGGCCGGTCCCCCCAGGAAGCCTCCGGGGTGGAAGAGTCCGCTGCTGTAGTCGTGGGCAGCCGCCGGCACATAGGAGGGGTAGGTGGGGATGGGGTGGTGTGTAGCAGGCTGGGTGCCCATAGTAGCTAGGCCTGGGCGCAGGGGACTGCCACTTTCCATCTTCATGCTCTCCGTCAGTGACACCTGGTACTTGACGCCGTCCTTGTCCTCTCCTCGGGCTGCACTACCCCCCGCGGAAGATGAGGCTGGAGACGCAGCCCCCGTGGTGCTAGGGTCAGGAGACACTTCTTTGGGTGGCGTGGGTGGGAAGCCGAAAAGGTGGGAGCCAGAGTGGGCTGCTGTAGGGGTGAGGGAGGCCACTGAGCTCCCGCTGCCTCCCCCGCTCCCACCCCCAGCCCCTGGGTACACAGAGAGTGGGCCTCCAGGGCCTCCAGCAGCTGAGGGGTGCAGTGGCGTCTTGGAGAAGGGGCTCACGGTCCAGGGGTTGTGGTGGTGGGCCGCAGCGGCAGAGAGGGCTGCTTTGCCCCCGTCCAGCCAGGGCAAACCCGGGCTGTGCAACAAGTGTGGGCGGCACATCTGGCCTCCGGTCAGGCGGGCTGCGGGCAAAGAGAGAGAGGATCAGGGTGGGCAGAAAGATCAGGGTAGGCAGAGCTAGGGACGCCCCTGACAGACATTGAGATCACGACTCCCAGAACCAGCAGTCATCCCCTCCCCAAAGAAAGCCAGAAACATAATACCCCACCGGTAATAATCAGGAATGTCAGTCCAAGCTGAAGGACAAGTGGCATAGAAGGAACCCCACCGGACAGACCCTACAGGGAACCCTCACAGGCCAGCTGGAAGTGGGCAGAAACCCTGTGGGTCCCAGACCCTCCCCAATCGGCCGCTGCTCCCACCTCTCCCGCCCCAATTTTTCAGCAGCTCGATTCCTGCGGATCCTACATCCGGGAAGCAAGCAGACGGGCCCTCCTCCCCTCCCTCGCCTGGCGCGCGGCGCCTGGGTTCTCATCACCACGGGCCCAGTGCTCACCGTGCGCGGGGCTGTAGGAGACGCGCGCCCGCGCGTGAGCGGGGTTGGCATAGTAGGGGTTGCCCTGCGAGTCGAGGTGATTGAAGAAGACGTCCACCTCGTCTGGAGGCAGCAGCTGCGCGGGTTCCATGTAGTTGTGCGCCAGGCCCGGGTGGTGTGAGTCGGGGTGCTGCGCATTCAGCACGGCCGGGTGCGCCATCCAGCGCGGCTGCTCGGGCGCCACCTCCATGGCCGGCGGCGGCGGCTCAGGGTCTGGGTGCAGACGGCAACGGCCCTGCGCGAGGAAGGGGGAGTGAGGCGTGCCGCCAGCGCCTGACACCCCCCAAAGTCCCACCACGAGGTGTCCCGCACGCCACGGAGCCCCAGCCCAGATCCGGCGAGAAAGAGCACCAGTCCCGGGTGGGAGGAAAGCCCAAGGCTCAAAACGAAAGGAAGGCGGGGGAGGGGGTTCAGCCACGCACACTCACGTGGTGACCCGCGGCTCCAGAATCACACACCCGTGCACATGGGGTCACGCCCGGGGACGGGTCCCGACACCAGTGACCCCAACAAACGCACAGAGCAGCACTTCAGTCAGACACTCACACTGAGCCCCCCCGCCCGGTAGACAAACACATGAACACAGACTCAAAAGTTGGAGACAGGCGCCCGGGCACCCAGTGTGGCACTTGATCCCAGCGACACGCACACACCCACACTTGGCGCCAGATACACATACTGATCTCAACCCCGAAAACATGCACACGCAGCCCCCTGAGCGCAGTACTAAGCGGCACAATCAGGACCTCTCAACAAAGCACACCAAAGCAGTCGCCCGCAGCCTGGCCCCCCGCCCTAAGTCCCCCCAGAGTCCCCTCAAAGCTAGGAGCGCCCCAGGCCCCCAGCCGGCTCTCAAACCCCAAACTTACACACGCAGCCGTGGGGAGGGGAGGGACTCGGCCTCTGAGAGTGAAGGAGTTCCGGCGGGAGCCCCGAGGGCGACGGGCCCAGGGACAGCACGTCCGGAGGCTGGCGGGGCTTACAGGGTAGGAGCTGGGGGTAGAGTGCGCCTCGGCCTCGGGCCCTCCCGGCTCCGGCCCCTCGGCATCCTCCGGCCGCCCTGGCGCCAGCTGCCGACTCCTGCACAGACATGAAGCGGGGGCCGCGCACGCCTAAGAAGCCCAAGCCAGCCAATCAACGCCGCGCGCCTCCCAGCCTCCGCCTCCCATTGGCTGCGTCCGCAATTCCCGAACCGCTGGACTCCGGGACTGACCCGCGGGCCGGCCCCCCTCAGCCGGCGGGCCCCCTCCCTGCGCGCTCCTGGCGGCCCCTGCTGCCAACGCGCCCCACCACTAAGGGACCCTCACCCCAAGGCCCGACCCCTGCAGCCCCTCTTGCGAACACTCCGGGATCCCTCGATGCTCTGGGCCTCCCTAGCAGTAACTAACCACCAACTGCCCCCTCCCCAGGAGCCCGGGCCGCACACCCTCTGGATGGCCTCTCCCCGAGACCCTAACCCCGCCACGCTCCTTCACCGCTGAACGTGGTCAGTCCGAGCGCAGTTACCTACCCAGACCGTTCCCTCCCCTAGCTCGGGCGCTGTCTGGGTGGACTGGGGGTTGGGATGGTTCGGACGACAGCGGCGGAACAGCAGGAGCCGAGAGGGGCAGAGAGGGGCAGGAACTACAGGGCTCTAGAGGGCACCTGGGCCTCGGACACGCGGCCGCTCAGGGCTGTGCTTGACCCAGTGGAGGTGGCCCGGCCGGTGGCTCCAGAAAGGGGGAGGGGGCACCCCTCCCCGGGCGTGGCCTTCGCAGGCCAACGGGCCCAATTGCCTGGGGCGAGGCCGTGGAGACCCGGACTGGCGCCGGCGCCAGCTGGAGGGAGACGCCCCCGGGCAAGAGGTGGCATTTTTTTTCCTCCGGGGGGGGTCCCCGAGGTGGCCTCTGGTGAGGGGGAGGCGGTGGTCTGAGGTCTCCGTCTTCTAAGTCACCTGGAAGTGCTCCCCACTCACTTCTAGCCCGGAGATCGGCTCTATGGTTCGTGTGGGCCGGGCGCACAAGTCTTCCTCCCTCCCATTGTACAGACTGGGGAGACGGAGGCTCGAAGGGAGCCCCGGGCCGAGGAGGGAGGTCCAGGACAAAGGCATTTTGGGGGACCTAGACAGGTGCCGAGTACTGGGGGGACTCAACAGCGTCCTCCAGCCCTCTTCCCTGTTGGGCCCGAGGCTCCCGGGGTAGATGTCCAGAGGGCCCCCAGGTGGGTCGGGGGCAGGAGGAGGGCTGGGGTCCCGGCCACCCCCGGGAGAGTGGGGGAGGGGCGGCGGGATTGACAGTCGGTAATTGGGTAACTGGAGGCGGCTTCTCCGGCCGGGCGGCCCCGCCACCGCGACGCCGAGCCCCTGACGTCACCCGATTCGCCAGGAAATGAACTTTTTAATAATCCGAGGAGGGAGGAAAGCCCTCGGTCCCCTCGGCTCCGGGGGCGCCCGGCTGGGCCCAGCTCCGCGGGCGCGCCCCCGTCACCCCCTCCCAGGCCAGTTCAGGGCAGCGCCAAGGGGCCGCGGGCTCAGGCTGAGGCCTCCTCCTGCCTAGGCGTCTGGCGTCCGTTTGTCTGTCCGAGGCCTCAGCGCAGGTAAAGCGCGGGGCTGGGGGGCGCAGAGCTCCATTGGGCTGGGAACCAGCGCGTCTCGTGCCCTTGGGGGACCCGCCTGCCCGAGCCGCCTGCTAAGCCTCCCGCTCCCCTCCACGCTGGAGCGCGCGGAGCCCGGTCTGCTCGGAACTCCACTCTGCGGGAGCGGAGGCCGGCGCCAGCCCGGGAAGCCGCGCAGGGGGCGGGAGGCCGAGCGCGAGGCCCTTGGCGCCGGGCCTCCGCGGCCAGGCCGGGCAGGTGAGCAGTCTCCGTGCCTCCCGGTTGGCGTTCCCCTCAACGCGTGCGGTCCCGCCGGGGCCCACTGTCTCTCCGTCCGTCTGTCTCTCAACTTTTCCCATCCTTTAGCTTACGATTCTTCATCAACTCGTAAAATGAGATCGCCGCGGAGCTCGAGCCTATTTGGCGTCTCCGGAGACTAGCAAGACCCTCTGAAAGACACCGCGTCCCCAGGGATAATCCCCCGTGTCCGGCAAAGCTGCCCCGCTCGAGCGCGAACCCTGGGACCCAGCGCGGGAGGCAGACCAGCAGCTGGCCGCTGGGCTGTGAACGCCAGGACCGAGCGGAAGCTTCCCGCCCGGCCGCGATCGGTGCCGCGGCTCTCAGGGAAGTGGCTACGCGCGTCCCTCGGGAAAGCAGGTAATTCGCCTTTTTCTCCCACCGGCGCGGTAAAAATTACCCTCCCCCTCCCCGTTCCGTGTGTATTCCCAGTTTCAGCGCAGCGAGCTCGGCGTCTAACCCCTCCGCGGCAGGGTCCCGGCCACTGCGGTAGTGGAGGTGGCCAGCCTGGCTGAGTCCCCTGCCCAAACGTCAGCCCTGTGCTGCCGCCTGCCTGACGCAGAGCGGAGCGAGGGAGGGGATTTAATTACCCCGCTCGGCAGCTCAGAAAATCGCCGCACAGAGGGGCTTAGCAGGACGGTTAAGGAGTGCTTGAGCAGGGGCCTCGGGAGACCCGAACCAGCCTCCTTGCCCGCAATCCGGTGTAGAGGAAAAAAAGGAAACAGGAGTTCTGCCAGGTCCTTTCAGGCCTTGGGGTTGCCTTCCTCGACAACGCAGGCAGGAGCCGGCTTGACCGAAGCCTCCACCTCGGTTGCAGGTCCTGCGTAGGATGCGGGACTGCTGCATTCTCTGGCGGAAACGAACCCGCCTGGGAGAGAGAAATGCGACGCCAAGTAGCAGGGCGCCCAGCTGGCCAATAAAGAGGGACCCGCGCTCGACAATGTCTGTGTGTGCCAGGCAGACCGAGGGACACCAACCGGGCCCCTCCCCATTAGGCCGAAGACATGGTCCTCCCACCTTGGGCCCCAAACAAACTCCCGGGGAGGGTCAACGCAGCCCCCAGAATCTGCTGGGGTCTTGAGGCGCTGTTCCAGGCCTGGTGAGAGCAGATTTACTCCAATTTATGGGCTGGAACTTTGGGGTCCCCAAAACACCTTTAGAGGGACGCGTTCCCTTTTTCAGTACTTTGTTCGTTCGGGAGTATAGTTGGAAATGCTGGCGCTGCCTTTGATCACATTAAGAAGCTGTCACTTTCCTTACTTGGGAACAAGATTTCTCTGAGGACTGGAGAAGGTCAGCCAGGAAGCAGAATTTTCGAAGGACCCTTTTGGCCCGAGAACTCACAGCGGCGATCGCCACCATTTGACCTGGGTGCTTCTGCCTGGGAGCTGGGGAGGTAGCAGATCTGGTGCCCGGTTCTAGAGTGCTTCTCAGGCCTCTACTAAGCCGCGGGTGCCAGGTGGGGACACAGAGATGCCCAGGTCTCCCCGGCCGTCCAGCCCCCCCCCCCCTCTGAGCCCTTTGTTTAAAGTTAGCTCATCCGAGGCGGCCCCTTTGGGACCATAAGTTTGCCCTCCCTTTGTAACCTAATTCTTCTCGCCTTTTCCTTATGGGCAGCTAATTGGCCCGCGGTGTGGGGCTGGGGGTGGGGTGTCAAGGAAACCCATTTGCTAAGGGACTACCTTCCATAGAGAAATTTAATTCGCAACCCAGCGGCCTCCCAGCCCCACACTGGCAATAAACCTTGAGGGGTACGGGGAGGAAGTGGGGTGCCTTAGCAGATGGGTTCAGAAGTTCCCTTAAAGCCGGGGCATTAGATCTCAGGCCAGCAGCCATCCCTCCGGGGGGGTTCCCAAGGGGGGGACTACTGCTATAACGGCCCCTCCTGCTCCTTGAGGTTCAATTCCAGCCCCTTAAAGCAGAAGGCTCCCTCCCTCGGCATCAGTGCAGGCTCTCCCACCTCATTACTGTTCTGTGTCTTTGGGAATCGTAGAGTCTGTGGCCCCCACGTCCTAGGTGTCTCGGCACCCTGGACCCAGGCGCCTCCGAGATTCTATATCGCTTCTGACCCCTACCTTCAAGCCTGGCAGGCTCCCCGCGGAACCCTGCTGAGACCCGGAGACAATCGGGCCGTGCTTCTCCCTCCTCCACGAACAGCCACGGTTTATTTGGAGCGGCCGGGGCCGGCGGCCTGACAACTGGTAAATCCGTTTCGTTAGGCACAATTTGTCTGCAATTTGTCAGCCCGGCTGGGAAACGCTCCCCAGACGCCTCGGCTGCCGCACGGGCCCTACCTGGTTCTCGAATCCTGCCTGCTCATAAACGAATCCTAGCACGGGGTGCCTGCGTAGACCTGGAGCTCACCACCAGATGTTCCCGACCTCGGGAGAGGAGGCTTTTTCCAAAACAACGAATTTCCTTCCTTGTTTTCCGGTAAAGGAGCGTTCGCCACACACGGGGTCCCTGAACGCGGGGCCTTTCCCCTCGTGGTTGGAGCAACGCGGAGTTCAAGCCTGGCCGCCACAGAATAATTTTAAATGCCCCGTTTTCAGACAGATCCAGAACGCCGTCTACGCCTACCGGCGGCAGATCTTCAAGCCCGCGGCGGCCCCATTCTTATTGAAATCCCACTAAACGGATTCCGACTCCGGCTTGGGGCGGGGGGAGACTTCCAGACCCGGCGCTCTCCCCCACACGCACCCCAGTCACACAGGATAAAGGGCTGCGGGGCGCAGCGCGCGGGGGCGCAAGCAGGAGCGAGCTGGGTTAAGCCGCGAAAAGCCGGCGCACGGGACCAGCCGGCAGGTGCAGCCGCCGCTCGGCGGCCCGGCTCGGACGCATCCGCCGCGGTGGCCTGGGGATTGGGGGCGGCCGAGACAAAGGCCCCAGTTCGGGGGCCGGGAGGCGGGGGTGCTTTGCGAGGCTCTGGGAATGCCAGGGTCTCGTGGCCTGTGGCTCCGAGAAATGGGAAGACAAGAGGCCCGAGGCGGGCCTGCTGTGCCCAGGTAACCAAATACTCCCTCTGGTTAAAGTCCCTATAACCAGGGTTTCCGGTCTCTGGCAGGGCCAAGGCGAGCCCCAAAGGTAGGGGCCACAGGGCAAACGGACCAAGCGATTCGGGTGCCAGGCGGGCCGGGCCGGGGGCGGGAAGGGCCGGGCCCAGGGAAGGTGGAAGTGGAAGAAACTCACCGAGCGAGGCGCGGTGGGCGGCGCCCCCGGGCGGACGGGGCCTGGAGTAGAGCTGGGAGCAGGGCGAGGTGCGCGGCAGGCGGGCTCGCGGGACCTGGGCGCGGGGTGGCGGCGCTCACCAGCAGAGCCTGGGCGGCACGCCGAGCGGCCGCATGGTGTTCAGCGGACCGCTTTTGTCCGCCTGGTGGGCGACGGGGCCCTGCTAGGATGGATGTGGCGGCAGGCAATAGACAGACTTGAGCAGCGAGTCCCGGGGCGACGCTGGCCTCGCTACCTTCCTGGCGCTCACGCTGCCTCTCTCTCCCCCACCGGCCGCAACGCGGCTTTTTATTTCGACATCACTTTGCGGGGGGGCAGGGGGTGGCGACGGGGGCGGGAGCGCCGCAGGGGGCAGGAGGGTACCCGGGGCTCTGCACCCGGCCTACCAGGTCCAGCCGCCTGGCCGGCCAAGGGCCGCTAGGCACTCAGGGCGCGCACACCCTGTGCATCCACACTCCAGGCCGCTCCCACCCTCTCCGGAGCGCACACGCGCGCCCCTGACCTCAGGGATGCTTGCTCAGAAAGCTTGGGACACGTCTTTACTGAGACTCTCCCCGGGGACCCTCAGGAGCTGTGAGCACACGCACTCACTGATAATGGTACACAGACGCCCGCTCCTCTGTCTTCAACCCACTTCCAGGAGTGCTCACACGGACACGCACACATCCCTGCACATGTGCACACAGCTGTGGCCGCGAGGACATCCTCAGACAGACGGCCTGGGTCACACCGACACACATGGCCATACAATCAGATGCAACTCGGCACTCGGGCTCACACTCAGGACGCCCTCACTGCCAGGCTTGTTTAGCTAAGTGCAGGCGCAGCCCCTCTCCCTGTCCCACCCCCCCTCCAGTTCCTAACGCTGGGGGACCCCCTGAGCACTTTAGAAGTCCACTGTCTGGTGTCCCCCTGGCCCATCTCCTTGGGGCAGACTCTCACAATGGGGGAAGCAAGGAAGTGTGCAGAGGGCTTGTTCACAGAAGTGGGAGTCAGGAGGGGGGGAGAAAGTGAGTGTGGGAGTCCTCATCCCCAGAAGGCCCCTGGGTTTGTGGGCAAAGACAGTCCAGTCCTTGTGCTGCCAAAGTTCTTACTAAGGGATTCAACCAGTCAGCGTCCCCCCACCCCCACCCCTGATTCCCATTCCAGCAGATCAGGGAGAGTGAAAGTGGCCTGGGGACCTTGAGCCCAGAGGGAAAGTGCTTGGGCTTGGAAGGACTGGGAAATCTGTGCTCCCGTGCCCAGGTGTGCCCCAGAGGAGTGTTTCTGTCCCCTGGTCTTTGTGACCCCTGCTGTCCATAGGTCTTTCTCCAAATCTGGTGGTGACTATTGCATTGTGTGTGTGTTCTATGCATGTGGCTCAGAGTCTATGTCCTGTGTGCCCAGGTGTGTCTGTGTGCACTTAGGAGCACACAGGAGTGTCTGCAAAACTGGGTGTATGAGTATGTTCATTTCTTCTTGTGGGTTCCTGAGAGTTTGTGTATTGGGCAGTAGGTCACAGTGTGGCTATTTCATGACCCTGGAATTTGGCACAAGAGAGTGTGTCTGTGGAAATGGTTGTGCGTCCCTTTGGCTCTGTGTCTGTGGGGTCATCATGTCAGAGACTCATGTAATGAGGGGTGGGGATTTCCAGGTGTTTGCCCATGTGTCTGTAGCAGTGTGTGGCATGTCTATGAATGGGTGTGTTTTGGAGTGTGTGTTTGCGTGTGTATGTGCATGTATCTAGGCATGTGTTACTGTGTGTATTTTTGTTGTTGTTGTTGTTTTGTTTTGTTTTGTTTCTTGAGACAGGGTCTTGATCTGTTACCCAGACTGAAGTGCAGCGGTTCAATCAGCGCTTACTGCAGCCTCAACCTCCCAGACTCAAGCCATCCTCCCACCTCAGCCTCCTGAGTATCTGGGACCACAGGCATGTGCCACCGTGCCTGGCTAATTATTTTTATTTTTATTTTTGTGGAAACACAGTCTCACTATGTTGCCCAGACTGGTCCCAAACTCCTGGACTAAAGCAATCCTCCCACCTCGGCCTCCCAAAGTCCTGGGATTATAGGCGTGAGCTACTGCGCCTAGCCTGTGTGTGTCTTTAATAGTTTGTACCTGGGTATCTGCATGTGTCCTTGAACTGGTGTATGTGTAGGTGTGTGTGTGTGGTGTGTTGCATGTGTCTGGATATCCATGTATAATTCTCTTTATTAATTGATGGCTGTTGGGGCGTGTGTTTGTGTTTGTGTATTTGAACATGCATTTGGCTATGTGCATGTCCATCTGTCTTTAACAGCATAGGTATCAGTGTATATCATTGTATCTTTGAACTGATGGTGGGGAGGAGGAGATGTATCCGAGTGTGTCTGCATGTCTACGTACAGCTCCATGTATGAATTGATGTGTGTTGCGGTGGGTGTTTGTGTCTGCGTATCTGGGTTGTGGGCAACTGTGTATATGACTACATCTTTGAAATGCATGTTTCTGTGGCCAGCAGTGCCCTGTTCTGTGGACTGTAGAAAAGTGTGTCCTGGGTGACACGCGGGGTGTGCATCCTGCAGGATCACACACCATCCAGACCTTCCTTAACCAGCAGGGCAGGCCGCCAGTGGAGCTCTAGGGTACCATTTGCTCGGGCACTTTCTGTCTGTCTGTGGGAGGGGAGATGAGCTGATAAGGCTTATCTGCTGTCGCCAGCGCCATGCTGAATAACTGCTCTAATGAGGTGTCCTCATTGGGACCACCCGATCCCAAGGCCCTGGGCCTCACTGGGGAGGGGCATGGGCGAGCTTGTCTGAAGCACAGGAGCAGGGCCTGGGTGCCTACAGGGCCTTTTCTACTTCTGTCTTGTTTCCTTGGAAAGGGGGTTCCAGGCCTTGCACCTCCCCACCCCACCTGCCTCCTGCCTACTGGGCGGAGCTGGGCTGGCCAGGCCAGAGCTGGCTGGAGCCTTCCAGTCTCTGGTCTGTGGCCAGGTTCACAGCCTTGAGAGGGCAGGAGGTATGAGGCCTGGAGATGTGGGGCCCTCAGGGTGGGGTGGATGAAGAGAAATGGAGATTCAGTGACAGAAAGATCCAGAGAGACAAGGAGTGGGGAAAGAGATGGGAGGCCCAAAGACAGATTTTAAAAAAACAATGAGGAAGAGGCACTGGTGGGGACAGGCCTGGAGCTTGGGGACACTTGGAGACAGACAGAAATAAACAACTAAAAAGTGGCAGAAAGGGTCAGAAAGATGGGAATAAAAGCAAAGAAGGTGATAACCACAGAGACATGGACAGAGACAGGAGAGAGATAAGAGAGGACAGAGAGATAAGACAAAAATAGAGAGATTCAAAGAGAGGCGCAAAGAGCCAATGCGAGAAGAGGGACGTGAGAAGGGCCCCAGAGAGAAGAGTGGGGACGCAAAGGAAAGATGGGCAGGATGGGATGGACAGACTGAGATGGAAAGGCCGACAGGGCTTAGCCGCCAAGCTCGAAGGAAGCGCGGGAGGCCGGGCGCCGGGCGAGGATGGGCTGGGCATGAGCTGCGGGCCGCGGGCAGGGCGGGACACCAAGGCGCGGGCGGTGGTGGCGGGCAGGGGGCTCCGCGCGGGGCTGCGCCGCTGTCCGGGGTAATTTTTCATCTCGGCCGGCTAATCTTTGTTCCCGGCGAAGATAATGAATAGCCAGTCGTTATCTGCCCGGCTCCCGGAGGCTGCCCGAGAATGGGGTTGTACAGGGCTGGGAATTGTTTCCAAAGTGCCGCGGAATAAATGGTGTTCCTTATCTCTGCCTTCCAGATTATCGGAGCCCTTTCAGAGAGCGCACAACAAATGCGCCCGCCATCGAATGCATCATTTACCACCGCAGATCCGAGCGCTGATGGGCAGGCAGATAGCCCTCTGCTGGGGGCACGCGGGCTCCCCGTGCCCGTACCACTCGCCTGCCTGCCGGGGCCACTGAGTGTGCGCCCCGGTGTGCCCGGCGTGTTTGGATGGACACGTGGGTGTGCCAGTGCATGGGCTAACGCCGATGCAACTGTGCGGGTGTGTCAAACAAGTGTACCACAAAAAAGTGCAGGTGTGCGAGCCCATCCATGCACACGCATGGCAGGCGTCTGTGCTGTGTCCGGAGGCGGCCGATGAGGCGGGTGGAGGGTTCACACAGGAGGCGGTGCTGCACTAAGCTTGTGGGCAGGCATGCGGCCCAGGGTGGCTGGACACGTGGTGGAGGAATGGGAATGCAAGCCCGCGTGTCCGAGTGCAGCGGATGAGCATCCTGCGAGTGCCTCACTGTGTCTGCCCTGGAGGTGGCTGTTTAGGGGAGCACGCCGGAGGCCACTAGGGTGGATGTGCTGTGTGCATGCAAGTGCCCACCCTACGTTGTGTTTCGGGGCACACAAGCTACCTGTGCCTACCGGGATGAGCATGCAAGTGTCACCGCTCCCGCCGGGCGTGCTTGGGGTGTGCTTGGGTCTGCGTGAGGCTGTGTGTGTCCTGCCGTATCTCTGCCCAGGTGTGCCCTGGTGAGCTGAGAGAGGGGCACGGGGAAGGGCAGTCGTCGGGGCCTGTCCGTGTGCCAGCGTGGGTGGACTCCGGGCTGGGGAAGCGACAGGGAATGGTGTGTGCCGGTGTGACAGACGCCAGAGCGGCGGGGTGGAACGTGCTGTGTCACGGGAGACTTTCTTGACCAAAACGGAATGTGCGAGTGTGGAAGGAAGAGGGGCCGTCCGCGGAGTTTGGGGACACCCGGGCGTCCGAGCCCCAGAGCCTCTGCAGCTGGGACAAGGAAGCCCGAGCCCGCCGCCTGAGGTCCCCGCGCCGTTAGTGACACGCGCCGCCGACAAAGGCTGTATTTTTCCAGGCTCGCGCCCCGCCCGCGCGCGCGCGATGGTCCCCATGGCGACGCAGATAGCGCCGCAGCCATTTTCCCTATCTCCCCAGAGTCTATTATACGGCGGGATTAGCTCATCTCCAGGCAGGTCAAACCCAAAGTCACACAACCTGCGACGCGGGCCCCGCCCCCACTCCCCGGCCGCCCCTCCCCTGCCCCGGCCCCGGCCCCGGCCCCAGCCCGGCGACCCCCGGCTGCTGCCCAAGCGCAGGCGCAGAGCGCCACCTGGCGGCGGCGGGGTCTCGGGTGGGGTCCGCGGAGCCGGTGCCCGTGCAGAAGAGGTGGGGTGAGGGTCTCTACCTCCAGAAGGCGGGCTCTCTGGGAGCAGGGGCTTTGCTTTGTCACTGCTGTTCCCCAGGGCCAGACTAACACACAGTAGGTGCTCCATAAGTGTTTCTTGAAAGGATGTTTGGAGGGATGGATGGATGGATGGATGGATGGGCAGGAAATTATAGACGGGGGCAAACTGCCAAAGGCTACAGTTTAGTTGGCAGCAAAAAAATCGTTTCTGAGAACGCATCCCACTGAATTTAGAATAAAAGCCAAACTCTTAGAACCTATGTAGTGGCCCTTACTGACCTCTCAGACCTGATTTCCTTCTTCCTCACTGCAGCCACAATGACTCTCTTCTTGTTCCAGAGTGTTCCCACCCCAGGGCCTTTGAGTCTACTGTCCCCTCCACCCCGAATGCATTCTGACTCCACTCAAGTGTCACTCTCCAAGAGCCAAGTTGCTCCCCTGTCCCCTGCTCTTCTCTGTCTATGCATTCTTTTATAGTGCTTAACACAGTCTGAAATAGTCTCGCCCCTGTGTGTGTGTTGTCTGACTCCCCCTCTAGAATACCAGGATCCTTGGAGGTGAGGGAGTTCCTGTTTTGCTTGTGGCTACAGCTCAGCCACTGGAATCATATCTGACAATTGGTTGGCATCAGTCGCAACTCTGGGAATGAGGGAATGAGGACTAGAGGGGGCTGGACGGGCCCAGCCACCTGCCTTCATCATTGTCATTTCTCTTTATCACTACGGTAACTCCTCCTTCCCCTCATGACTTTGGAAGTCATTCAGCAGCCACTCCAGCCCCACCAACCTGCCCCTATCCCAGAGGGGCCTGGGATGGAGGGAGAGAACCACTGAGGCCCCTCCACATCCCTGCACCCGCTGTGCCCATGGGGGCGGAGAACACATCTGACCCGGCTCTGAGGGAGCCGTGGCCTCTCTAGGGAGGGCTGGCCTGCTGGTGAGACTTCACTCATAATACAAGATAATTATACCAGAGTTGTCATGAGGCGGTGGTGATTAATTGCTGTGCGTGGGGCACGGACGGACAGCGAGGTATAGAGAGTGGAGAGAAGGCCGCAGCCCAGCTGGGCTTCCAGGTGGGAGCTCAGCCTCCCCATCTCTGCCGTGGAAGGGACTCAGAGGTGTCAGGCCAAGCATGCAGGCAGGCTTGTGACAAACTCCTTGGCCAGGAGCTCTGAGAATTAGCTTCACTTCCCTCAGAAATGCCCCAATTCCCTCCTGGAAGAGGAGCTGTGTGACAGCTCAGGCCAGGGGGTCGGGACTCCCCCCATCTCCTCCGCACACACATACCCCTGCACACATACCCAGCCACGTACAGCTGGGTGGCTGTACGCAAGTCATTTTTCCACTCTGAGCCTCAGGGTCTTCCTCTGTCCACCTCCCCCCAGGATTACTGGCAGAATTAGGTGTGAGCTTGCATTTAAAAAGAGGTTTGTTTTGTAAACCCAGGCTTTGCAAATTGGCAGCCCAAGTCTCGGGGGCCTGTGCAGTGACTGATCATTACCAACATTTCGAAGTGAGAGATGTCACATAAAGAGCGTCATTTCGAGCTTCTCTTGAAAAGTTGTAAGGTGAGCTACCCTGGGACTGTATTCCTGAATGGCAATGTGATGGCAGAGTCCTGCAGTATTACCACCTGTGGACTTGTGCACCAGGGTTCCCACCCACCCACTTCAGGCCCTTGGTTCAGGGATGTGCCCGTCATGGAAATACCAGGTGCTGTGGCTCTGCTGGTTTTGGCTTTCCTTCTCTGTAACCTTCCAATATCTTTCTCCTTCCAGGTACTGTAAACCACTTAGTAATTAATTAGTTAATAAATTCATCTCATCAGCACTTTTAAATAATGTGCTAGGCCACACTGTCATGGACCCCAGATATACAGCAGCAAACAAAGCAGCCATGGTACCTTCCCTCAGGGAGCAGTCAGTCCAGTGGAGGAGTCAGATATGACTCACCACACAGATCGAAAAATCTCCACAAATTATGAGAAGAATGCTGAGGGAAGAAAGAACATAGGTGGACCGCTGCTGAGTCCAGGCTTACTTGCAGAGATCTATGCTGGCCAGGCCCTGTGCTAGGCAGCAGAGGACATGGAATAAAATCAAATAAGGTCACTGTGTGCAGGCACCTCACGGTGTGGTAAAGGAGCAGCCCCATCCACAGGTTCTATTAATTCCAGCCTGTGAGAATTGGAACCACAGGGTGAATTTTGGAGGACAGGCACTTACACTAATCTGGAAGCATAATATATAAAGAGTACCTACAAATCAATAAAAAAAAATAGAAAAAAAAAGAGCAAAGTATATGAACAGAAAATTCAATGAAAAGGAAATAGAAATGGCTCTTAAATGAATGAAAACATACTCTCACTCAGAGAAATGAAAATTTAACCCATGTCAAGATACTTGGGGTGAAGGAAGTGTTTTAAAATTCGATTGTGGTGATGGTTATAACCCTATAAATTTACTAAAACTTATTGAAGTGTACCTTTAAAACAAATGAACTTTATAGTATGTCAGTTATATCACAATAAGGCTATTTTAAAAATAAAAACACTTTGAGATACCATTTTATACCTGTTGGTATTAGCAAATGTCAAAACACTGGATAATGCATTATGTTCCTAAAGGCATGGGGGAGACGGCCTGGGGCAAGCGTCCACTGATGCATTCTTGGGTTGGGGTGGGCAACAGGACGCTGTCAAACATACAAATACATTTACGCTTTGAGCTGGGAATTCCACTCATAGGACTTCATCTGATATATATGCTTTACATCTGAAAAATGTATAAGGAAATTCACCACAGCCTCATAGATTATGGCAAAAGTTTGGAAACAAAAGATGTTTGTCTACAGGTGAAAGGTTATGCCACTGTCAAAAAAAAAAAAAAAAAAAAAAACAGAGAGAGAGAGAAAGAAAGGACAAGAAAAAGGAAAGAGTAGTTCTTTGCATACTGATACGGCATTATCCCAAGATAGAATTTGTGTGAAAATAAAGGTGCAGTACAGTGATGACAGTGATGTGTTACCACTTGATTAAGAACTGGGGTAAGGAGAGAAAATATATACATTTGCTTACATATTTACAGAATTTCTCTGGATGGAAAACAAAAGAAGCTGTTAACAATGGTTGACATCTACCTGGGTTTGGGACCTGGGTTTGGGTGGCTGGGGACAGGGATGGGAGAAAGATTTTCATGGTGTACCCTTTGATTCCTGTTGAAATTACATAGACAGATAGATGATAGATAGATAGATAGATAGATAGATAGATAGATAGATAGATAGATGGAGAAATATATACACAGTCACATACATACACACACATATATATATCCTGTATAGGAAAACGAGATTAAAATGCACAATGAAAACTTTTTGACTACAAAGTAAAGATGGAAAAAAGTTTGCCAGGAAGAAAAGCTGGGGGAAAATTCCAGCCGCTGGCTAAAACATAAAGAAACAAGAATTCCCTTGCCCTATTACCAGGAATGTAAATTGTTCCAACTATTTTGCAGAGTAATTTGCCTGTTTCTGGCAAATCTGAAGATTGGAATGCCACACGGCCCAGCCATTCCTTTTCCAGGCATATGAGAAGCCCTCACACATGAGCAAGAAAGAGATGTGGCCAAAGACATTCATGGAGCCCTGTTTGTTAAAACAGAGAAAAAGAAATTAAGAAATACCCAGCCTGGGCAACATAGGGAGACCCTGTCTCTACTAAAAATAAAAATTTATACTTGGGAGGCTAAGGCAGGAGGATCACTTGAGCTCAGAAGATCGAAGCTTGCAATCAGCTGTGATCGTGTCACTGCATGCCAGCCTGGGTGACAGAGAGTGAGACCCTGTATCAATAAAGAAAGAAAGAAAGAAAAGAAACAGAAATAAACTTAGGACACAGCAGACGGCCCATCCTGAGGGTACCACATAGCAGATGCTGGGACCTTTTTTCAGGTGGACGCCACATGACCTTTCCTTTGCAGGCATCCATGCTGATGTTCACAAGGCACACAGCATTTCAGCTGAAGAAAGAACTGGCAGGATTTTCATCACGAAAGGGCACTGTCTATCGTTTATGAAAATGAAGCATATGAAGTAAAAGTTTGGAAACAGATGGAATTAAATCTTCTGACAGATTTTAAAATAAGATCTAAAAAAGAGCAAGACATGCTCTTGGATGGGGAAACTTAATATCAGAAAAATGTCAATTTTCCCATTTTTTCCATATAAATTTAATGTAATTCAAATTCCATTACCAACAGGGTGATTTTTTAAAAAACTAGATAAAATGATCTGAAAGATTATGCAGCAGAATAAATGCCCAAGAATTACCAGGGAAGACTGGAAAAAAGACTGCTGTGGGGGTTTTGCCTTCCTGGAAATAAGACCATACTGCAAAGTCACTGTAATCAGATCAATATGGCATTGGCAGAGGACTAGACAATGGAAAGGAATGGAGAATACAAAAATAAGTTTCAGGATATATGAGAATGAGATATATGCCAAAGGTAGTATTTTGATTCGGTGGGAGAAGGGCAGACTGTGAAGTAAGTGGTACCAGCCACAACTGAATATCCATCTGGGATAAAATAAAATTGCACTCGTCTTAGAGATCCAAATCAACTTCAGATGGATTAAAACTTTGAATGTAAAAAACATAAATGACTAACAGTCCTGCAAAATATCTTGGAGACAACCTGTGCCATCTGGAGAGTGGGAAGAGCACATGCAAAGGCCAAGGGGTGGAGCAGCCCAGCATGTTCTGGAAAAGGTAGGGCTCCCCAAGGCTGGGATGATGGTGGAGACCTGGGTGTGTGGGAGCACAGGGGTGGGGGCCCGTGGGCCAGGAATGCACAGAGAGGGGCTGGTGCTCTGCCGCAGGCCCAAGCCCCCAAAGCCCGGTCATTCCCAGCACCATCTTCACGGGTTTCTGCCCAGGTCTTTCTGCTGCATCTCTTCCTCCCCCGATTCCTTAATCATTTTTTTTAAAATCAGTTCATGTCTTTGTAAACCAAATTATTTCTAAAAGGCAAATTTATATTACTGCCGAAATCAAGGGTCAGTGAGCTAGTTGTGTATGTTCTGAATCACATGGAAATAAATGCATCGAACATTAAGAAGGAAAGAGTGTCTAGCGTTAGCTACCTTGGTGTGCTGGGCTCAATGTGCATTTTGGAAGTTGCCCTGCCACCTTGTGGGCAGGAGGGACTGGATGAGTAGGGAGTCGGAGTGAGCATGAAGGTGACCAGAAAGTCCATTCCTTAGAAAGTGAGGAGGTGGCAGCCAGGGTCCAGGCCTGGGCCCTGCCTGCCCCCTCCTCACACACCAGCCTCCCGTCTGTCATTCTAGAACCTGACCACTTCCCGCCTCAACAAGCAGCCGGCCTGGTCCTAGCTCTCGCCTGGACTACTGGAATAGCCTCCTTGCTGGAAGTCCTCAACTTCCCCACTTTCTGTTCATAGTACAGTGGCCGGCGGGGGCCCGTGAGGATAGAAGTCAGGCCAGGTGCAGTGGCTCACGCGTGTAGTCCCAGCACTTCAAGAGGCCAAGGTGGGTGGATTGCTTGAGCCCAGGAGTTCAAGACCAGCCTAGGCAACACAGTTAAACCCCATCTCTACAGAAGATACAAAAGTTAGCTAGGCGCAGTGGCGCACGCCTGTAGTCCCAGCTACTTTGAAGACTGAGGCGGGAGGATCACCTGAACCCAGAAGGTCATGGCTTCAGTGAGGCTGATTGTGTCACTGCACTCCATCCTGGGCAACAGAGTGAGACCCTGTCTCAAACAAAAACAAAAAAAGATGTAAGTCAAACCTGTCCCATCTGCGCCACACCCTCCCGCAGCACCCGGGTCCCTCTTGGCCTCTTTGGTCTCATTCCCTTTGCTTGCTCCACTCCAGCCCCACTGGCTTCCTTCTTGTTTCTCAAACAGCTGGCACACATCCACCCCAGAACATTGGCACTAGCTGTCCCTGTACCCAGATACCACATGGCTTCCTCATACTTTGGGCCTGGTCACCTTCTTGGACCACCTCCTGATGAACTGTGGGTGACAGCTGGAGCACAGGTGGGTTCTGGAAGCCCTGCAGCCTGGGGTCAGGATGAAGATTACCCAGGGCCAGCAGGCAAGCCTGAGAGGCCGGTCTCCAGGCTTTGCAGCTCCCGGCAAGAGGTCCCAGAGGTCTTGCCCTTCCAGAGATGAATGCTTGAGGCCCAGAACATGGGGCCATCCGGAGCCAAGGCCTGGGATGTTAGAGGAGGGGAACTCGGGACTCCATGCAAGGACCACGGGTCAGCCCTGTGCCTGTCCAGACCACCTGCATGGGACACAGCAGGGGCCCAGAACTGGGCATCCAGTGGATCACTGCAGCAGCATCTGTGTGTCCATATCCAGGTAGCCGCACCCAGATTTTCCCTCCAGGGACCACCCCCTCCCACTCTCAGTTCAAGGTGGTCCATGTGGAGCACCCACCTCTGGCCCAGCCAGTCAGAGCCATCCTGGCTGATTGATTCTGGGCACATGACTCTGGAGGATCCATGGAGAGTCCAACCTGGAAACTTGGCAAGAATCCTCGGGGACTGCCCTCCTGCTGGGGTCATGTGGCACTGGGAGCTGCGGTGGCCATCTTTACTGCCACCCAGGAGAGCCTGCCGGAGAGTGAGACCAACACAGAGCAGCAGAGACAGAGACAGACTGGCTCCCGAGCGTTCAGCCCCAGTGCCGGAAGCCAGCTAGAGCCCTGGCCTTTTCAGTGACATGAGCCAATGACAACTCCCAGTTCTCTCCCTCCGGTCAATCTGAAGCCGGGTTTTTGCCTCTTACAACTGAAAGAGTCCTGGTGGTCACAGGCATGGCTGATTAAAGATGCCCACCAGGTCTTTGTTACACCCTCATATACTTGGGGCCTTGAATGTGGGTGTGCTCTGAGATGACTTGACCAGGAGAATACGGTAGCAGTGACACTGCAGTTTCCAGCCCAGGCCTGAAGAGATGATTAGCGCCCACTCCTTGCTTCTTGAAAGTCTCTCCTTGGGAGTCCTGGGCTGCTATGTTAAAAATCCAACTGCCCTGAGGCCACCATGATGTGAGGAGGCTGGAGCCAGGTGGAGAGGCCATGGTGGCGAAAGAGCTGCCGGACCAGTTCCCATTGCCCCAGCCCCCAGCCATCTGAGTCATCCCCACTGAGGACACAGATATCACAGAGCAGATACGAGCTATCCCTGCACCGCCCATCCAGATTCTTTACCCAGTTTGTGAGATATAATAATAATGAACTGTTTTAGGCCACTGAGTTTTGGGGTCATTTTTAAAGCAGCAATAGACAGATGGAACAATAGTAATGAGCAAAGGGCCACATATACCTATTGGATTGGGAAGCAAGACAGAGATGGGGCTGCCACTGTGCGCAGGATCGACTCACCTCCTTGGGAATTCTTATACACGCCCGTATGAGTGCAGGATGCATGAGTAGGATAGTGGAGCCGAAAGGGTCTTGATAGCAGATGGCCTTGAATTTGAGTCCCTACTCTGCTGTAAGATCAGCTCTGAGTCCCAGGGCTATGTTATTTCCCCTCCTCGAGCCTCAGTTTCTTCACCTATCATATAAAAATATTAGTACTGTGTTGCTAGGATGAGATTCAGCTGCACATAACAAGGAGATACAAATTTTTTTTTCTGTCATGTGAAAATTCACAGGTAGGCAATCCAGGGCTACTATATCACTCCCTGGTGTCAGAAAGCAAGGTTGGCTTTCGTCGCCTCACATTCCAAGATGGCTGTTACAGCCTCACCATTGTATCTACATTCCAGGGAGCAGCAAGGAGGAAGTGAATAAAGAACAAAATGTTCACATCAGCTGTCTCTTAAGGAAGTCCCCTGAAAGCTGACACATCCACTTGTATCCCATTGGCTAAAGCACAGT
Organism: Homo sapiens; assembly: GCF_000001405.40. Taxonomy (NCBI): domain Eukaryota; kingdom Metazoa; phylum Chordata; class Mammalia; order Primates; family Hominidae; genus Homo; species Homo sapiens. Next base: position 128,506,010 of record NC_000003.12, read on the forward strand.
CACATGACCATATCTAGCTGCAAAGGAGGCTAGGGAATGTAGTCTTGCTCTGGGAAATCATGTGCTCAGCTAAAATTCTATGGAGGAATAATAGCTTTTGGAAGATACCTGACAGTCTCTGCCAAAAGTATCTATGTCAAGAGTTTATGTAATGACTGACGTGATTTTGAAGAGGTTTTGTTTTGAACCTCTGCTGCATGCCAGTTTCCACAAAACTAACTGCAAAAGACATAATCAGGTCTTTTGTAGGACATGGCACAGGGGCTGACACATAGTAGGTGCCCAGTAAATGAGGCGTCCTTGTTTGCTCTTCTAGCTGCACACCTTGCTGCTCTCCTCAATGGTGTTTCTCTGCCCCAACCCTCCAAGGATGAGCTCCCTCCCCAAGAGGATACCCTGTTTCATTTTCTTCACATCATTTACCATAACTATTTGTTTCTTAATTTGTTCATCATCCATCTCTCTCCACTCTAATATACACAACACGAAGAGAGGGAGAGTATCTCTAGGGTCCCACCAAGGAAATAGAAGTCACTTGAAAAGTGTAAAGCTTAATTTAAAAGTTAAAATTCAGAGATGTGATTGTGCAGGTGATGGAATTGCTAAGAACAGGGGACAATGAGGCAGCACAGAAATTAGGAGCAAGAAGCTGTTACCTCCCCAGGGTTGGAGGGGCAATGGGAGGAGATGGCATTACCAGAGCCCAAGGCCTGGGTGACACAGGGAGACTCAGCAGGCCTGTCCAGTGGGAGCTGTAGCTGTAGGAAAGACAGAGCCACACCAGAGATGCCACCTGAGATGAAGAGGAAGGGGGAGAATACCCTGGCTCCTCCCTTGTTCACTCCAGGGCCTCTCATTGGCTGAATCCAGCAGGAATCCAGCTGGCCTCACACCTTGGGGCTAAGCTCCCCTCCCTGATGGGTGACACAGAGCCAAGGGATGGGATAACAAGAGCTAAGGGCAAACTAGCCCGGGGCTGGCACTGGTGACTTCATCTGTCTTGTTATCTTCTGCATCTGGAGCTTCAAAGGCACAGCCTGGCACACGGTAGGACCTCAATAAACAGTGGATGAATAGATTGGGGTTCTCAACTCACCTTAGCACCTATAGAAGCTGTTTAGAGTCCACAAAACAACTCTTGTACCTGTGAGGGCTCCTAGGTGCTAGGCCCACAAAGGGAGGCATGTTATGGCCGTGGCATTCTGCTTGGCCAGGATCCGAGAGGAGCCTCCCAATTGGAGGATTTAGCCCAAGTTGCTTCATTCCCTGTCCAGTGGAGCCTGGCCTCTCTCTCAGCCTCCATCAACACCCAGAATCCTCCATGATGAGCTCCTATCCCACCAGGGCAGAGAGTGGGCATGTCCTCATCAGGGAGAGAAAGGACAGAGACAGACAGACAGGAAGAGAGAAACAGCCATGCAGCCAGGGCTGGGGCTCTGCTTGCCATTGCCCTCTATGCACTCTAACTGTGGCAAAACCTGTGCAAAGTACATGGATGCTACCAACCACTGGCAAAGGAATAGGAAGCATATTCCTGTGGCCCGGCAAATGCGTGGGGATGGCTTCATCCACATCCTGCAGGAAGAAATTAAATTAATTGACAGGTCCAAATGTGAGTGGACAGGTGGGGCAGCAGGAGCTCTGCACGCCACTGGTGGGAGTGTTTTTTGGAAAGTGCACTTTGTAAGAGAATTTGGCAACACTAACAAGGACGTGTGTACAGGTGAGCTCAGCAGTTCCCTGCACAGGTAAAATCTCAGCAGCATCCACTGATATAAACACAACCACAGTAACAACGCCTGGGAGCCACCCAGGTCCATTCACAGGAGAAAGGATAAATGAACCATGTCATGCCCACACAATGGAATACTCGACAGCAATGAAGACGAACAACAGTGTCACGCATCAACGCAGATGTACCTCCCAACAATACTGTGAGAGAAAAAGGCAAGTCACCAAAGAACACGTATGTATGAGGCCATTCAAATAGCTCTTCTGGATTTCACTCCTGGGGATGTCAAGGACCCACTAGAGTTTCCAAGCCATGTTCACATGTCACCTCCTTGACTAAAGGGACATGACCAATAAATGCAATGTGGGGTCCTGAACTGGATCCTAGAGCAGGACAGAAATAGCTATAAAGGACATTCTTGGGACAATTGACGTTTAGATATGGATTGTGGGGTTCGATCATAGTATCATATCAATGCAAATTGTCCTAGCTCTGATAAGCATATGTGTTTATGTAAGAGAATGTCCTTGTTTTTAGGGAACAAACACTGAAATATACAATAGTAGAGAGGCATCATGTCTCCACCATACTCTCAGATGGTTCAGGAGAAATATGCGTGTGTCTCCGTACATATTAATATAGAGAGAATGGTACAGCCAGTGGGACAAGTTGTAAGCAATTGGTGAATCTAGGTAAAGGGTATATGGGAAATTGCATCAAAATTAAAAGTTATGAACATGGGGGAGAAAACCCAGTTCTTCTATAAAAACAGCCTCCAGCCTCTCCCTCCAGCACAACCTGTCCCCACACGTGGGGCACCCGGCACCCATGCTCTGGCTCTTGTCTCTCTGGGTCTTAGTCCCACTTAGCACCCCACACCCAAAGGTCATGTTTTCACAGATGTGTACCCTCAAGACTAAACACACACTTGAGGCATTCATGTGACTATACATATTTATGGAAAAAGAAAATTCTTGGGCTCACAAAACTGAACGCTCCAGGGTGGACTGTCTCAGGTGGCCTTAATCGGGGTGCTGACAACATCCAGACGAGCACGCAGGCTTCTCTCCCTGCCACGGCGGTGCCATTCTCCAACGGACTCTGCCGCCGTGGCTGCAAGATGGTGGCAGCAGCTCCAACCCCTGCACCCTTTTGTGGCCAAGTCCAGTGGGAAGAATGTGAGGTCTTCTTCCAGAAGCTTCTGCAGATTCTCATTAGCTTCAGCTGGGTCATGTGTCTGTCATCCCTGACCTGGCCTCTGGGGTCAGGAAGGCACCATGGTCAGACTGGCCAGGCCTGAGCCCCAAGCCCCAAGTCCAACCTCTTCACAAAGCACAGCTGGCTGGGGCAGAGCGGTGCCCCCAGTGGAAAATCAAGATGCAGTTTCAGAAGGATGGAAATGGATGCTGGGTGGCGAAACGGCAGAAACCCACCCCGGCCCACGCCCTTGCCTGTCCAAAATCCATGCACATGCTTCTTCCCATGCTCCCTCTGGGGGAGGTGTGCTAGGCAGCACAGATGTATGCACAGCTCCCCACAGATGCCACCCTCATCCTTGGAAACTGTCAATGCCCATGAATTTGTTACCTCACGTAGCAAAAGAGACTTTGCAGATGTAATTAAGGCTGCTCGTCAGTTGACCTTAAAATAGGGAGAGTGTCTTGGATCATCCACATGGGCTCAGTGGGTCACACAAGCCCTTAAAAGCAGAGAACTTTCCATGGCTGGTGGCAGAGGTAGAAAGGACATTGGAAAGAGACAGCATGGGGGAAAGGGAGATTTAAAGCTTGGGAAGGAAGGATGGAAAGCGCGACTGCTGCTTTGAAAACAAAGGAAGCCTCAGGCCACGTAGCAAAGAAATGGAGACCCCAGGCCTGCAATCATAAGCGACTGAATTCTGCTCACAACCCTAATGAGCACCTCCGGGAAAGAGCCCAGCCTGCCAACACCTCGATTTTGCCTTGTAAGCCCCTAAGCAGAAAATACAGTTGAGGCACTCTCTGCCCAGACTTGCAGTGCACAGAAACTGTGATGCTAAATGGATGTTGCTTGAAGCTGCTCAGTTGGTGGCACTTTGTTACAGCAGCAATGGAAAATGAATACTGGAGGTAACACTGTCTCTCCCAGTGACAGGTCCGGCTCCAGGAGCTGGACCCCAGTGACCGTGTTACAGTCTAGGCTTAAGGCCCCCCTCACTCCCAACCTCACCTGTGCAGAGAGGGAAGGAAAAGTGCCATGTCAACCCCCAGTAAGGGAAAGGAGGATGGGAGACCCCTAGCCTGCAGCACATCCAAAGCCCTGCTAGAAAAATACTGAGAAATGTTAGACATTGAGCTACCACAGGACCCAGGATTACAACTCCTGGGTATCTACCCAAGGCAAATGAAAACATGTGTCCCCAGAAAAATTTGCACACAATGTTCATAGCAGCATTATTTATAATAATTGAGAAATGGGAATAGCCCAAATGCCCATCAGCTAATGAATAGATAAACAAAATATGGCATAGCTATACAATGGAATATTATATGGCCCTAAAAAGTAATGAAGAAGCCAGACATAAAAGGCTTTGTGTGATTCCATTTCCAGACAGAAAGCAGATTAGTAGTTGCTGCAGGCTGGCGGGAGGGAGGAATGGAAAGTGGCTGCTAACAGGAACACGGTTTATTCTGGGGGCAATGAAAGTGTTCTAAACTTAGATGTGATGATGGATGTACAACTGCGTGAATATACTAAAAAGCATTGAATGGCATTGAATGGTTCATCTTAAATGGGTGAATTTTATAGTGCGTGAATTATATAGATAAAGATGTAAAAGATTTGTTTAACATCAATAAAGATGTAAAAAAAAAAATGTTGAGTTTCTTGGGCAGCCAGTTCAACTGCCCAGCCCTGCCCTCTAGGAGGAAAACGAGTACTCCCTGCCCACCCTTCACCATTCCCACATCTGAAGTGGGCATTGGGGATCTCAGTTCTCTAGTGGCCAGTTCCTAATGGTGCAGATTCTAGACTGCAGAGATTGCTTGGGCTTGGAAATAACATCACAGACTTTTTCAAAAAAATTTTTGTCTTGTTTTTGTGTTTTGTTTTGCTTTTTGTTTGCTTGTTTGTTTGTTTTTACCAGACTTGAAGTTTTGGGGCAGTACAACTCCATCAAAAAAATTTTGACCTCAAGTGATCTGCCCATTTCAGCCTCCCAAAGTGCTGGGATTACAGGCATGAACCACCGCACCCAGCCTCCATCAAAAATGTATTAGGCATTTCCCTGTCTTTATTTTTAAATATATATATATTGTAGTCTGGGCATGGTGGTTCACACCTGTAATCCTAGCACTTTGGGAGGCTGAAGAGGGAGGCTTGCTTGAGCCCAGGAGTTCAAGACCAGCCTGGGCAACATAGCAAGAGCTCTTCTCTACTAAAAATAAAAATTAAAAAAAATTAGCCAGGCTATGTGGTACATGCCTGTAGTCCTAGCTACTCAGGAGGCTGAGGCAGGAGGATTGCTTGAGCCCAAGAGTTCAAGATTGCAGTGAGCTATGAGTACACCACTGCACTCCAGTCTGGGCAACAGAGCCAAACACTGTCTCAAAAAAAAATTACATATATATATATATATATATATATATATATAGAGAGAGAGAGAGAGAGAGAGAGAGAGAGATGTGTGTGTATATACATATATATACTTCAGGCACACAAAAAATTAGATCGAATAATATAAAAAACACCTATATACCCAACACCTAGCTTATATATTAAGTATTAAAATGTCACCAATACAGTTGAAGCAGGAATACAGTTGAAATTGAAAATGTAGTTAAAATACAATTATAGTTGTAGTTGAAATGTACTACATGCTAGATAGAATGTACAACTTTCTTATGACTTTGGGGTGGGAGGTGATTTTCTGAGCATTGCACAGAAAGCAGAAGCTGTAAAAAGTGAATGCTTCCTTGGATTCCTTGGACTATATAAAAATTTCAACTTCTGCCTGGTGAAGATACTGTAAACAAGTTTAAAAGATAAACAAATAGATCGAGAGAATATTTGCAATGTATACAGTGAATCAATATCTACAATATGCAAAGTGTTCCCAAAAAAAATAAGAAAAAGAAAAAAAAACCAGTAGCAAAATAGGCAATTCACACAGGAAGAAATATAGTGGTCAATTAAGTTATGAAAAGTATGCCCTTATTCATAATCAAATAAATGAAAACTTAAAACAATGATGAGATACCATTTTTCAGTTAGCAGACTGGCAAAAAAAAAATTCATGCAAATAACAAGAGCAATAATATCCATCCAACGGCAAGCCTACAGGAAAGTAAGCATTCTTCTACACTATTGGCAGGAATATAAATTGAAGCAACCTTTTTGGGAGAGCAATTGCCTGGAATCTATGTTAATGTAAATTGTACATACCCACAATCACACCCTTAGTAATACAGTGTTCAGAAATACTAGCACTTAAGAAAATAAATGAAAAAACAATAAAAGCATTAGAAACATCTTTTTTTTTTTTTTTTTTTTTTGAGATGGAGTCTCACTCTGTCGCCCAGGCTGGAGTGCAGTGGTGCGATCTCGGCTCACTGCAACCTCCGCCTCCCAGGTTCATGCCATTCTCCTGCCTCAGCCTTCCGAGTAGCTGGGACTACAGGTACCCACCACCACGCCTGGCTAATTTGTTATATTTTTAGTAGAGACAGGGTTTCACCGTGTTAGACAGGATGGTCTCTATCTCCTGACCTTGTGATCCGCCTGCCTCGGCCTCCCAAAGTGCTGGGATTACAGACGTGAGCCACCACGCCTGGCCAGAAACATCTTTAAGTCCATAAATATGGACTGATTAAATAGATGTTGATTATAACCACAACATGGCTTTTCATCCACCTTTTTAAATAATTGGTTCATTTATGTGCTGATAGGGAATGTTTTCCACAATTTCTTTACAAGTCACTCCACAGCTACTTCAGTGGGGGAGCAGGGAGTGTATATATGGGAACTCTCTGTACCTTCTTCCCAATTTTGCAGAGAACCTAAAACTGCTCTAAAAAAATTGAGTATTTAAAATCAAATTTTAGAATAATAGACATATTATGGCCCCATTCATATTTTAAAACCGTGTATGATATTATGTGTATATATATATATATATATATATGTCCATTCTTTAGGGTTACCTATTTGTCTAAAAGTGGCATCATTTGAATTGTAATAACAAACATTATATTTCTTTTGTAATCTAAAAAAACACCTTAAAAATCTAATAAAGAATGTATTATAAGGCTGGGCACAGTGGCTAACCCCTGTAATCCCAGCAGTTTGGGAGGCCAAGGTGGGCAGATCACTTGAGGTCAGGAGTTCAAGACCAACATGGCAAAACCTCGTCTCTACTAAAAATACAAAAATTAGCTAGATGTGGTGGTGCACGCCTATAATCCCAGCTACTTGGGAGGCTAAGGCAAAAGAATTACTTCAACCCAGGAGGCAGAGGTTGTAGTAAGCCAAGATGGTGCCATTACACTCCAGCCTGGGCAACAGAGAGAGACTTTGTCTAAAAACACAACAAAAAAAGAATGTATTATAAGTATGTGATTAAAATAATAAAAATGAAGTCTATTTTATAATTCTTCTTTTATAGATTGTGCCTTTTGTGTCTTATTTTTAAAATCTTTGCTTAACCCAATGTCACTAAGATTTTTTTCCTATGTTTTCTCCCAGACTTTGAGAGTTTTCGCGCTTATGTTTAGATCTATAATCTCTTTTGGTTAATTTTTTAGAATGTTGCAAGATAAAGGTTAGATTTTTTTTTTACCATAATGATATTTACTTGTTTGAGCACCATATGTCTAAATAGCAATATTTTCCCCCATTGAAGTACCTTGGTATTTTTGTAAAAAATCAATTGGCCATATAAGTGTGAGTATTTTTGGTTTCTTCTTCATTGATCAGGAGTTTGAGACCAGCCTGATTTATGGTTTATCCTTACACCAATACCACAACATCTCGATTACTATAGCTTTCTAGAAAGGTTTGAAAGCAGATTGTGTTATCTTTCTGAACTTCATCTTTTTCCAAGATTATTTTGGCTCTTCTAGGTCCTTTGCCATTCTATATAAATTTTTTAATTAAGCTGTCCATTTCTCTTCTTAATAAAGATGTGGGATTTTGATTTGGATTGCAATGAATGTATAGATCAATTTGAGGATAATTATCATCTTAACAATATGGGGGCTTCCAGTTCATGCATGTGGGTATATCTCTCCATTTAGTTAGATCTCCAATTTCCCTTTGTGAGGTTTCATAGTTTTGAGTGTACAGATCTTGCACATCTTTTGCTCAATTTATTCCTAAGTGTTTTATCTTTAGTGATATTGTAAACTGAGTTATTCTTTAAATTCCACTTTCCAATTGCTCATTGATAGTATATAGAAATATGATGGATTTCTATATGTTGGTTTTTATCCTAAAAACTTGCTATATTCACTTATTACTTCTAGCTTTCCCTAGCCCCCATTCCTTAAGAGTTTTCTGTGCATGCAATCATGCTGTCTAAAAATAAAGACAATTTTACATCTTTCTTTTCTATACTTATGCCATTTATTTCTTTTTCTTGCCTTATTACATTGGCTAGGACCTTCAGTATAAATGTTGCCTAGAAGCTGTGAGAGATGTCTGCACCTTGTTCCTAATCTTAGTATTGAGCCTTTCATCATTGAGGATCATGTTAACTGTAGGTTCTTCATGGATGTCCTTCATTAAACTGAGGACACTCCCTTCTGTTCCTCTTTTGCTGAGAATTCTTATTGGGAATCAGTGTTAAATCTGATTGAATGCTTTATCTGCATCTTTCAAAATAATCATATGGTTTCCACCTCTTATTGTATTAATGTAATGAATTTCTTTGATTTTTGGATATTGAATCAACTTTGCCTCCCTAGAATAAGCCCTACCTGGTAATGATGTTATCTTTTTCATATATTGCTGTATTCAATTTGTTAATGTTTTGTTGAAGACATTTTCATTTATGTTCATGAGGGATTTGGGTTCCTAGTTTTCTTTTCTTGTGATGCTCTTGTCTGTTTTTGCTATCAGGATAATACTTACCTCATAAAGTTGGTTGAGAGGTATTTCTTCCTCTTATATTTCCTGAAATAGTTCATGTAGGATGGTGATGATGATGATGATGATGATGACTATGAGACAGGGTTCATCTCTGTCACCCAGGCTGGAGTACAGTGGCACTAACATGGCTCACTGCAGCCCGGGTGCAAGCGATTCCCCTGCCCCAGCCTCCCAAGTAGCTGGGACTGCAGGTGCACACCACCAAGCCTGGCTAATTTTTTATTTTTTTTAGAGATGGGATTTCAACATGTTGCCCAGGCTGGTCTCAAGCTCCTAGGCTCAAGCGATCCCCCCCCACTTCAGCCTCCCAAAGTGCTGGGATTATAGGCCTGAGCCACCGCACCTGGCCAGGATTTATATTATTTTTTCCTTAATGTTTTCTTGTGGAAAGGTTTTAAATGACAAAATCAATTTCTTTAATTGATAGAGAACTATTCAAAAGTTCTATTTCTTCTGGACCAGTTTTGGCAATTCATGTCTTTCAAGGCAATTGTCCATTTTATCTAGGTAGCCAAATTTATTGGCACAAATTTGTTCACATTTTCTTATAATCCTTTAAATGCCTGTAGGATCTCTAATGATGTCTCTTCTTTCATTCTTGATATTGGTAATTTGTATCTTTTTTCTTGAGCAATCAAGTTGTAGGCTTATCAATTTTATTGTTCATTTAGAAGAACCAGATTTTGGATTCACTGATTTTATCTATGATTTCTCTATTGTCTATTTCATAGATTTCTGTTCATTTTACTTCTTTTTTCAACTTATTTTGTTCTCTTTTTCTGATTTCTTAATGTTGGAACTCAGATCAAGCCTCAAACTTGGAAAAAATACTTGAAAAAAATAGATATCTGGTAAGGGCTTGTATCCAGAATTTAGTTTTTCTAAAAACAAATCTCCTACAGTTCAATAATAGGACATGCTATCTGATTTTTTCTTTAGTGGACAGATGATTTGAACAGCCACTTCATAAAAGAAGATGTATGAATGCCCAGTAAGAACATGACAAGATACTCAACATCACTTGTCTTTAAGGAACTGCAAATTAAAGGCACTATATACTCACAAAAAATGGCTAAAGTTAAAAAGACTGACAATAACAAGCGTTGAAGACCATGTGGAGCAACTGTAACTTTCATACACTGTGGGAATGCAAACTGGTATAGCTACTTTGGAAAACAGTATGGCAGTGTTTTATAATATTAACCATAATTTATCATGTTACTCAGCAAATCCACTCCTAGCCATAGATACATAAGGGAAATGAAAACATGTCCATGCAAAGACTTCTATGCAAGTGTTTATGGCAGCATTATTCATAATAACCCCAAACAGGAAGTAGCCCATATGGCCCCCAGCTGGGGGAATGGGTAAGCAAATTTGTGGTATATCCATAGTATGAATTATTACTCAGCAATAAAAAGGAATAAAATATTAAATCACACAATGACAAGAATCAATTTCAAAAACATGCTAAAGAAAAGAAGTCAAACACAAAAGATCATATATTGTATGGTTCTTTTTAATGAAATTCTAGAAAATGCAAAATAAAGCACTCAATCATCAAAATTCATCCAACACTACAATTTTATTGTATGTAATTTATATCTCAATAAAGTTATTTTAAAAAATAAGTATTTTTAAAACCCAATAAAGGAGTTTTTCTTTTTCTTTTTAAAATATTTTAATTTTTTAATTTTTTTAGTTCACCTTACAGTGCAGTATGCTTTCCCAGTTTTTGCTGGGAGAAAAGTTGGTTGATTGGAGAATCTCAGTGCATGCTCTTGTCCTCCCACTGCTGCAAGCTCAAACTGAGCTATTAGCAGTAATTGCAGCAGGCAGAATAATGGCTGCCTCACAGATGCTCCTGTCATATCACCAGAACCTGTGACTATGTCACCTCACATGCCAAAGGGACTTTGCAGATGCGATCAAATTAAGGATCTTGATATGGGGAGATGATCATGAGTTATCCAGATGGGCACCATGCAATCACAAGGGTTCCCATAAGAGGGAGGCAGAAGTGGGGTCAGAGGAGACAGCCACATGAGGCTGGAAGCAGAGACTGGAGAAAAGATAGAGGAAGGGGGCATGAGCCAGGCAGGCAGGCAGCTACTAGAAGCTGAAAAAGGAAAGGAGTCAATCTTCCTCTCAGAGCCTGCAGAAGGAACCAGCCCCGCCCCCCACCCCAACACCTTGACTTTAGGACTTCTGGCCTCCAGAACTGCAGGATAATAAATTTGCATTGTTTTAAGCCACCATGGTAATTTGTTAAAGTTAAGAACAGGAAACTAACACAGCAATAAAAGGGAATGAACTACTGATACATGCAACAACATGGATGCACCTCAGTTGCACTGCGTGAAGGAAGCCAGGATCGAAGGTCACATACTGTGTGGTTCTGTTTATATGACATTCTAGCAAAACTACAGAGACAGGGACAAGATTATCTAGGCCCATCCCAGATCAGTAGAACCACTCAGGTGTTCCTATGGACTCATTGCAATAACAGATGGTTGTCACTTTAGGCCACCAAGCCTTGGAGTGGTTTCTTACGCAGCAGTGCTAACTGATAGAGCAGGGAGAAAGTCCTGCAACGGTGCCAGGGGCTCGGTGTTGAGACCAACTTTGGAGAGAAGGTTGCAGGAGCAGAGGCAGTGAGAGTGACTGAGGCTCAGGAGTAGGTTAGGGTGGGAGCCAGTCTGGTCCTTCTTCCCTTAGCAAAGGTTGCTAGAGGCCACTATCTCTGTTGCCAGAGTCTCTGTCCTGGAGTACTTGCCCAGTTGCCTCCACCCACCTGGGCCACACTCCATCCCTGATGCCCCCCAGGGTTCCGTGGCCAGTCCTGCCTCCTGAGAGCCTGCCTTCCCCCACGGTAGATTTCCTTCTCCATCTCAGCCTCTCCTCATGCCTGGAGCACCTGCTGAGCCCAAGGGGGGCCAGGCTGGGCCAGGCTTCTGTGCCCGCTCCTTGGCAGCACACAGCCCTATGCAGTGCAGTGCCAAAACCATATGTCTCTGGGGGCTGCCTCAACTGGAGGAGCTGCCTCCACACATCCACCCTTAGGAGGGTAGCCTCCCAGGGAACATGATCAGCAGCTTCCTGATGGGCCGGGGGTTTGCAGGGCAGAGAGGCAGCCAGCTCTGGGGAAGCCCTGGGGCTGAGCCAGGCAGTTGAGGGAGGGGGCAGTGGGCTATTGGACTAGAATTTTAAAACTGATATTCATTGACTTCTTACTATTCTGAGTGTCTTATGTCTATGATCTCATGTAATCCCCACAAAATGAGTCAGGTACCATTTTATGCAGATTTTACATATGAGGAAACTGAGGCACAGAGAGGTTGAATAACTTGCCCAATAATATCACACAACTATCATGAGCAGAGCCAGAACACGAATCCAGCTGCAGAACAGGTGCTCCCAGCCATGACATCCACCTGCCTGAAGCCCCCACATTTTAGGTCTGATGTGCTTCCGGCTCCAGCACATCCATCACACCCCATATGACAAGACAGCGGAAGGCAGCCAGGGACAAGGTTAACTTCCTGACCAGCAAGTGGCTGAGACAGGCAGTGTGGAAGAGGGCTGAGGATCCTTAGGTTCAAGTCCTGATACTGCCATTTACTCACTGCAAGACCTTAGCCAGATGGTCTCACTGCCTTGTGCCTCAGTTTCCCCAGCAGTGATGGTGGTTTTATGTGTCCATTGGGCTAGGCTACAGTCTCAGTTCTTCAATCAAATACAAGTCTGAGTGTTGCCATAAAGGTATTTCACAGGTGGGATTAAAGTAGTTCATAATCTGTTGACTTTTAAGTAAAGCAGATTAGCCTAATCACTGGGGTGGGCTGGACTCCATCATTTGAAAAGCCTTAAGGGCAGAGCTGAGGCTTTCCAGAAGTTCCATCTGTGGACAGCAACTTCGTGCCATCCCTCCCTACTCCCACCCCCATCTCATAAGCCAATTCCTTGCGATAAACATCTTGCTGTAGATTTCCCCCTGGTTCTGCTTCTCTGGTTGAACCCTGGCCGAGAGACTGTCTGAAAGTGGTGGACACTACAGCCTGCGCCACAGGATGGTAGTGAAGGTGAAATGCGCTCATATACATAAGGTGTTTAAAATCACGCCTGGTACAAAGTGAGCTCCAAATAACCTTTACAGCACAAAATGGCTACAAAACACATTTTATAATGACCTTGGTGGCCAGGCCCTGCTCTGTGCCACCAGTTCCACAGCAGGCTGGCTCCAGCAGGGTGCAGAACACAGCTCCCTCAGGCAGCCCCATCCTGGAGCGACCCCGGGAGTACAAATAAAGTGTGGTGAGGGGCTTCCAGGTGCAAGAAGCTTCCTGTGCCCCATTTCTCAGAGCACAGGGTCTGTCCAGGGCCCCAGGCTGCCCCTTACCCCCAGCCGAGACAACCAGGGAACAGGGCTCTCACGATCCTCCCACCTGTCCCTGCTTCCTGCTTCTCCTCCCTGCGCTGCAGGGGCCACTCATGGAGCACCCAGTGTGCATCGTATCTTAGCTTGGATGTCACCTCTTCAGAGAGACCTGCCCAACCACCCTTCCTAGAATCACAGCCCCCAGGGCACAGCATGGTACAAACTCACTTTTAACTTATTACTGTGAAAAATTTCAAACCTACACAAAAGTAGAGAGAATGAGATACTCCCTACCATGCCCTCTGAGACAGTAGACAGAAGAATGCCCCCTCAAAGGTGTCCACATCCTAATCCTAGAACCTGGGAATATGTCACTTTACATGGCAAAAGGGACTTAGCAGGTGTGACTAAGGTTAAGAATCTTGAGATGGGAGGTGATCCTGGATTATCCAGTAGTAAAATGTGCATTGTGGGGAGTCTGTCTTTATGAGATTGCTCTTTTTATTTTTCTGTATTTTAAAACTTTTGCAAACTGAAACGGTGGTGGGGGTGGGGAGGAGATGTTTGTGCCAGACCCAGTGCTGCATACTGGGAGGATGGGGCTGGATAAGGTGGAGATTAGGACCTGCAAGGGCTCATAGTTTTGGTGAATGGCATGTTGGACACCTTGACCCTCTCAGCTGCCGCAATTTCATGAATTTCCTGGTGCCACAGAGAAATCAATTATTTTGAAGTCAGACAAATCTGGGTTCAGATTCTGAGACTGTCATTTACTGGCCATGTGATTTTTCCATAAGACAAATAATTGCTCTGAACTTCAGTGTCCACCTCTGTAAAATGGGATAATACTACTAATTTACAGAAAATCTGTGTATAATACAAACTATAATAGCAAGTCCCTGGCACTGAGAAAGTCCTGGATAAGGAATAGCTACTGTTGTGAATAGAGCTTTTAAGTCCATTGCCCCTTCTCCAGCTCCTATCCCCAGAGGATCTTCCTGCAGATGTGGGGAGCTGGGTGGTGTGGAGACAAACAGTCGGACATCAGCATCAGAGAGACCTGGGTTCAAATCCCATCTTCACCCCTTAGTAACCATGTGACTTTGGGTGAGTCACTCAAACAATATCTGCTCCCTGCTGAGTAGCGGAGATCGAAGTGAAAATGTGTGTGTTTTGCGGTGCCCGACACATGGTAGGCCTCATAAATGATGGTCATTGTGACACTGAGGACTGGCTCCTGCTTCCCAGCCCACTGGGAAGAAGCTCAGTCTAGCCTAGATTAATCCTCCTCATGATTCCATGCTGGGGCAGAGGCTGCTCACTCTTCCTCAATATCCATTTCCTTCTTCTTTCCTTAGTAGCAGGACAAAGCCTACATGCCCAGCCTCCTTTGCACTTCAGAGTGGACACAAGATTCGTTGAACCGAGGGGAAATAAGCAAAAGTTACACCTGAACCTCCAGGTCATACCTTTAAGGGATAGTGGTGTGTCTCCATCCCTTCTCCCCTTCCTACTGGCTGGAATGAAGATGTGATGGCAGAAGCTGGTGTAGCCACCTTGGGTTAGAAGGTAAAAGGCTCAGATGAAAGGGGCAGAGGCACAAGATAGAAAGAACCTGGGTCCATGTTCATTGTGGACACACAAATCAGTCTAGGACCACCAAGTTGGGCTTTTCCTTGAGAGAGACATAGACATTGCTTTTGTTTAAGCCACTGTCATTTCTGGATCTTTGTCATAGCCACTGAACTTGAGTACTATATTGAGTAGGCATGGACATGTGCCACAGTTGTGGCCACTGGACATGGGAGGTGGTCTTCTGGGGAGCTTTGGGGGAATTTTTTCCTCTTCCTAAAGGTGCACAGGAAGGGACCCTGCCTTCACCTGGCTTTTGGACATGGCTGTGATATGAATCCTGGAGTCGATGCAGCCACCTTCTGACCTTGAAGAGCCAATCCTAGGGAGGAAAATGAACCTGCCAAGGCTGGCAGAGGGGAAGATGGACAGTCAAGGGGTTCTTGATGATGTCCCCCGTCCACTGTTTAAACCAGCCCAAGAATGCATGCCTCCAGACTCCCTGTGACATGAGAGAACCACTCTTTGATGCATAAGCCAGAAGTCGCCAGGCTTTCTGTTACTTGCGGCAGAAATAACAGGATATTTTGGGAGCCTCCTCAGGGGCTCATGCGTCCTCAACAAAACTGCCCCGGGCTGAATGCTGAAGGGAGCTTCAGGACTTGGATTCTTCCTGCCTTGGTGCAAGGGGCTGGGACTCTTCTGGGACCGCCAATCCTCATCATGTCTCTCAGCAACCAGGCATGCCGAGAGCTGGGAAAGCTCTACTGCTCCCAACATCAGGATTCATCAGGCATCCGTTAGGCTGTATGTGGACTCAATTCTCTGAGCCTCTGTTTCCTTATCTGCAGAATAAGTTCATATATATAACAGTCTCTCTTACAAGATCTTTGTGTGAATCAAATCAGATAATGGATTATTTTCTAAGCTTGTTGTATGTCAGTTTACCCTACTAGAAGAGTGATTTCTTGAGGGCAAATGAATGGCCATGATATCTATATAATCCACAGACCTGTGACATGGCCTTACACCAGCCAGATACTCAGGAAATGTTTACAGGGGAATGTTAGGCATGACCTATCAGGGCACTGCATTTCTCTCAAGGCACAGCGATTGGTTCAGAGATGGCCAAACCCAAGTCACTCAAGCCAATTAAAGTGAGTCCCAGGACTTTTGCTTGGACAGCTGGAAAAGATATTAATTTTCCCACTTACCTCTTTAACAGTGGGGAGTATGAAGCCAGAACTGCTGCAGTTAGTTTGCCACACCAGAGGAGAGGCTTCCTGAGAATGGAGTCATGCAGAGCAAGCAGACCCCAGAGACAGATAGAAAGCAAACAAGGTTTTCACAGCATCATTTAAGCCCCCGGATCAAACCATACCTAAAGACCACCCTTAGATTTTTTTTCTGTTACATGCAGCAACACCTCCTTTCTCCCCAACCTTTTTTTTTATTTTAAAGAGAGTTTGGATCCCTACTGCTGCAATGAATAACAGAAGGGCATTTGGTAAATGATTCAACCCTAGACATGTGTTTGAAATCACTCCTGCCGGATAGGTGAGCAAAACTGCTGACGGCTAGTCCCGGTTTTGCTCCGCCTAGACATGGTGTGGTAAAGGCAAACCTTTGCTATGGGAGTTATAAGGCAATCAGAAGGTTTCCTCTTTCCAAAAATGTCCTAGACATCTTCCAAAGTAGAGTAATTCACAAGTGTTTATACCAAAGGCAAACTCTCCATCCAATGTTCTATCTCCTGAGTGGGGATGTCCTCGCCAGAAAGCCTCAGTTAGACGCTGGTCTTTCACACTTGTCTGTAATGGCCAACCACTCTCTCCTTCAGCCCGACAGTGCCTTTCTTGGTTTAAGCCAGTGCAAACAATGCTCCAACACGGGCAGCCGGATGGGAGAGGCTGGACGGGAAGAAGCTGGAAGAGACTGGCTTCAATGGGGAGCAGAGCATCTGCCGGTTGGAATCCTACGTGTTTGCTTTTGTTTAGTTGGGCCCCTCTGTGCCCCTGTGGTCCGAGTACTTGCTAGGTGGGCTCCCTCCGGAGCAGGCTCCAAGAGGTCTATTGAAGAGCCCTCAAAATCAGCATCTGGTTGCAGGAACAAGGAGGCAGGATTGAGCAGAGGGAGAAGTTGGGCTGTGGCCACCACAGAGGCTCAGCCAATCTCATGAGGCTGAGCAGGGAACCTGTGAGACTCACCACAGTGCTCACTACACTCCCAACTCCCACAGCAACTTTTGCAGGAATGGGAATGTCCCCAGTCCTCTCTCCGCCCTTGGCTCCTTTTCCCCAGAGATTCCTCACTTCTGGTTGGGAACACCACAAAGCCATGTGGATCACCCTCATCCCTGGAACGATGGGGCCCAAATGCCTATGGACAAATGTGTGGACAAATGCCCCCCGGGCTCTGATGCTCTCTGGAGACAGCCAAGCCCTAAGCACTGGCCATTCACAGCTCTCTGTGGTGAGAGACGCACAGGCTGGTGCAGTTTCCTGTCTCTTCCTGCATGAGGGTGAACTCTCCCTCTCTCCTCTCAGGTGGCTATGGGTCCACCTGTCCTCCGGACTAGCTCTGGAGCCCCCCCTCCCATGCCTCCTGGAACAATGCTGAGCTTCCCCCGTGTGTCTGCAGGTCCTTTCCAGGCTTGTGGCCTGTGTGGGATCCAGCCTGTGGACTGAGGGTGGCTGTCTCCCTCCAGTGGGACTTCGGGGCCTATCTCCACCTGATCCCCAAGAGGATGGTGTCCTCTCAGAGGACAGTGGGGCCCCAGGAGCCTCCTGCGCTGCCCAGCTGGGGGTGCATGCAGGGCCTGGGGAGAGGCGGTGTCCTGTGGAAGGCTCCTGGGAGGCGCTGTCAGAGTCTCACTCTCAGACTTCCTCCCGCCGCTGTGGGAGGCCTGGCTGTGCCCGCGACGTGTGTGGCACAGCGGGCTGGGTTGCAAAATATATCTGGCATGGCAGTTGGTGAAGTAGTTATGCAACCACCACCAACTTACGGAAACCACCGAGCGATGTGCCTTGCTAGCAGAGGTGCCTGGCTTGGCCACGCTGGCCACAGACTCTGGTTCCGTGTTGGCAGTGTGAAAAGTGGCCCAGGCTGTGGAGTGTCGAGAACCATGACAGGTCTTCCCTGAAGTCACCCTGGGAGCACATGACCCACGAGACCCCGGCAGAGCTGGCATCTTCTCCTCCAAGGATCTCCTTCCCATTCTACAGAATCCAGAAGACAGCCTCATCTGGTTATCAGCAGCCGATCCTCCCTAGGAGGCCCACCTCAGAGGGGACAGGCCCAGCCCGGGGCAAGGGTCTCGAGGAGATAACTGCAAAAGGGAGGTGGCTGGAGGCCCACCCTTTGAGGAGCTGAGGTGGCTCAGCCTGGAGAAGGGCAGTGCTGGGCACCCTCTCACCATCCCTCTAAGGAAGCAAGCGGCCTACAGGGCACAGATGGCAACACTGGGGCTTGTGGGGAACTCCCACAGAGGAAGATTCCAGCTCCATATCCACAAGAACTTCCTCCTGCCCAGAGCTTCCACAGATGAGATGGAATGCTGAGAAGGATGTCCTAAAGGGAACCCCCAGCATGTCTGTGCCCCTGGCCTGAAAGTGCTCTTCACCCATCAGGCTGCTCAGCAGAGTGAGGAGAGGAATTCTGAGACCAAGCAGGGAACCCGGTGAGGAGGAGGCCCCTCCCCTCCCCACTGAGTCCCTCCAGCTCCCCTGAGCCTCCACGTCACCTGCCCCAGGGAGAAGTGGGCTGAGCACGGGCTTTGAAGCCAAACCCACCTGGAGCTGATCCCAGCTCGGCCACCTACCCTCTGTGTGGCCCTGCACAAGTCCCTTCCCTTCTCTGAGCCTCTGAGGATTACATGCCATAACGGACAGGAAGTCCATGCTCAGGAGAAGGAAAGTTCATGTTATTTCAAGCTCACACCTGGCTGCCTTCAGCCCTCAGGCTGAAACCTTGCACATTAGACTCACCACCTCCTGGGCTGATAAAATGGACATCAGGTTGGAATGCATCCTTCTAGATGTTTTCATATGCCCTATGTACATATGTATGCATAGCCAGAGGAGGGTTATGATGCTTTGCACAGTACTCGGTACCTTGCTTTTTGCACTCAAAGATTTGTCTTAGAGACCTATTCATGCTAATAAATAGAGCCACTCATTCTCCTTAACTACTACATTATTTAGTGAATGGCTACATCATGGTTTACTTAGCTCTTCCTCTATGATTGGACACTGACGTTATTCCTATTGTTTCGCTCTTACAAACAATGGCTATCTTCACTGATGCCTTCTGGTGTGTATACACAAAGGCTACTTTGAGAATACCCAAAGAAGGGGAATCTCTATGTCAGACAGGATGCACATTTGTCAGTTTAATAGATACAGGCCAGTGAAAATTCATTAGTAAATAAATACAATTTTCAATTCAGCCGCGTTAACACCAAAGGCAAGTTTCAGGTGTTGTGGGTTTTTTTCTTAATTGTTAAGTTGCCTTTAAAATTCCACAATGAATGCATGCTCCTTGTAAAAAATAGATGCCCATATTTTTTAAGCGCAATTTCCACCCTTCCTAGCCCATTCCCTTCTCCCAGTTGTGAACAGTGGACACATATTTGCTATGCATTTGCAAACACACAAATCAATACGAATTTTTTTACATAAATGAGATATAGATAGACAGATATAAAACTTGATTTTCTACTTTACTGACATATCTTGGACATCTTTCCATGTTAGTAGATTCATATCTGGATCTTTACTTTTAATGGTTACATAGAATTTTATTATAAGAAGGACTATAATAAATTTACTCAGTCTCTTATTGATAGACATTTTCATTCTTTTCCATCTTTTGCTATCATAAACGAAATTGCAGTGAACGTTCTTGCACATGCATCTTTGTAAGCTTTGAAAATACATTGAACTAAAGCAAACAAAACTAATCCTGGAAACGTTGACAGACAGGTGTTAGAAGACAGAAATTCACTACACTTTGGGGAAAGGCTGGTGACTAGGAAGGGATCCCAGAGGGTCTCTGGGATCCTAGGATGGTCTAATTCTGGTTACAAGGGTGTGTTCTGTTTCTGAAAATTCACCAGTTGTGAGTTGTGCGTTTTTCTATATGTATTTTACTTTTCTGTATGTATGTTACATGTAAAATTTTACTTTAACATGGTAAGTGAAAAATATATATATATAAGTTTTTCAGAGGAAATGTGAGAGATGACTGAAACTCTATAACAAGTTAAATTCTTTTTTATTTTAATTTTAGTTTCAGGGGGTACATGTGCAGGTTTGTTTCAAGGTATATTTCAGCCGGGTGCAATGGCTCAAACCTGTAATCCTGGCACTTTGGGAGACCAAGGCAGGAAGATCCCTTGAGGCCAGGAGTTCAAGACCAGCTTGGGCAACATGGTAAAACCCCATGTCTACCAAAAAAAATTTTTAAAAATAGCCAGGCATGGTGGTGTGCACCTGGAGGCTGAGGTGGGAGGACTGCATGAGCCCAGGAGGTCAAAACAACAGGGAGCCATGACTGTGCCACTGTACTCCAGCCTGGGCAACAGAGCAAGACCTTGTCTCAAAAAAAAAAAAAAAAAAGAGGGGAGGGTATATTTCATGATGCTGGAGTTAGGGCTTCTGTTGATCCTGTCACCCAGAGAGTGAACATAGTATTCAATAGGGAGATTTTTAGTCCTTGCCCTTCTCCCTCCCTCCCTCCTTTTGGAGTCCCCAGTGTCTGTTCTCATTTTCATGTCCATGTGTACCCAAGATTTAGCTTCCACCTGTAAGTGAGAACATGAGGTATTTGGCTTTCTATTTCTGCATTAATTCATTTATGATAATAGCTTCCAGCTGCAGCCATGTTGCTGCAAAGGACATGATTTTGTTCTTTTTTATGGCTTCATAGTGTTCCATGGTGTACATGTGCCACATTTTCTTTATCCAATCCACTGCTGATGGATTGACTTTCAAGTTGATTTTATGACTTTCCTATTGTGAATAGGACAAGTTAAATCCTAATTTATGCACAACTTATATACTGAACATGGTTATACAGTTTGCTTGCAGACGTTGAATAAGTAACCAGGGGAAGCATAGGGTGGAATGGAACTAAATGTGCTTAGGGACTTATAATTCCAGGGAGTTCAGAAAAACTTTCCTGAGGAACTAATGTTTAAGCTGAAACCTAAAAGATAATGAAGCCTGTTTCTTCTGTCCTTTTTCTTGTGTTTTCAATCACACCCCATCTTCTCATTTGCCTGGTGATTTTTAATTGCGTGCCAGACATTGTCTATGAAAACCTATAGAGATAATATAAAGTTCTGAATGATGGTATCTTTCTTTAGAAAGGATTTACATTTGCTTCTAGAGAACAGCCAGGGTAGAAACATTACCAGTCTTCGATCATCTCAATCCAATCGTGGAGATAATTCAAAACTAAGCATCAATCCCAATGAGAGATGGCCTATTTCTGATTCACTCTTGCTTGGTTTTTAATAACAGTTCTATTGAGATATGATTCACACACTATACAATTCACCCATTCAAAGTGCAAAATTCAGTGGTGCTTAATATATTCATGGATTTATGCAAGCATTTCTAAATCAATTTTAGAATGTTTTCATAGCTCAAAAAAAAAATTCACATCCTTTAACTATCACCCCTCTTATCACCCCCATATGCCCTACCTCTAAGCAACCACTAATCTACTTTCTGTCCCTATAATTTGCCTATTCTAGACATTCAATAAAAATGGGATTATATTCTTTTTGTGACTAGCTCTTTTTGTGGTCTTTCTGTGACTAGCTCTTTCACTTAGCATAATGTTTTCAAGTTTTATCCAAGTAGTAACAAGCGCCAGTATTCCTTTCTCTTTATGACTGAATAATATTCTAGTCTATGGCTATATCACATTTTATTTACCCATTTATCAGTTGATGGACATTTGGGTTGTTTCTACCTTTTGGATATTATGAATAGTGCTTCTGTGAACATTTGTGTACAAGTTTTAATGTAAACATGTGTTTCCACTTCTCTTGGGTAGATACCCAAGAGTAAAATTTCTAAGTCATAGGGTAACTCCACGCTTGACCATTTGAAGAACTGCCAGACTGTTTTCTAAAGTGACTGTACCATTTTATATTCCCACCAGCACTGTATGAGGGTCCCAATTTCTCCATATCCTCATCAACACTTGTTATTTGACTTTTTATTATAGCTATCCTAGTGGATGTGAATCAATGTGTCCTGGTTTTGATTTGCATTTCCCTGATAACTAATGATGTTGATCATTTTTTCACATGTTTATTGGACATTGGTATATCTTCTTTGGAGAAATGCCATTTTGAAATGGCCAAAGGACTTGAATTTGTTTATTTGGTTTTTGTTTTTGTTTTTGTTCTTGTTTTGTTTTTGTTCTTGTTCTTGTTCTTGTTTTTTGAGACGGAGTCTCACCCTGTCGCCCAGGCTGGAGTGCAGTGGTGCGATCTTGGCTCACTGCAATCTCCACTTCCCGGGTTCAAGAAATTTCTACCTCAGGCTCCCAAGTTGCTGGGATTACAGGTGCCCACCACCATGCCTGGCTAATTTTTGTATTTTTAGTAGAGATGGGGTTTCACCGTCTTGGCTAGGCTGATCTTGAACTCCTGACCTCGTGATATACCCTCATTGGCCTCCCAAAGTGCTGGGATTACAGGCATGAGCCACCACGCCCAGCTGTTTATTTGGTTTTTTAAAAAATTATTGAGTTGTAAGATTTTTAAAAATATTTTTAGATACAAGTCCTTTATCAGATACATAATTTGAAAATATTTTATTCCATTCTGTGGGTTGTCTTTTCACTTTCTTGATGGTATCTTTTGAAGCACAAAAGTTTTTAATTTCGACAAATTTCTAATTTTTCTATTTATTTCTTTTGTTGCTTATGCTTTTGGTGTTCAGTCTAAGAATCATTGCCAAATCTGAGGTCTTGAAGATTTACTCCTATATTTCTTCTAATAGTTTTATAGTTTTAGGTCTATTTTTTTCTTTGACAGCTTTAGGGTACAAGTGGATTTTGGTTATATGGATAAACTGTATGGAAGTGAATATTTAGGTCTTTGATCCATTTTGAGTCAATTTTTTATATGGTGTAAGGTAAGGGTCCAACTTCTTTCCTTCGCATATGTCTACCCAGTTGTCCCAGTACCACTGGTTGAAAAAACTATTCTTTCCCCATCTTGGCAACATTGTGAAAAATCAGTTTGCCACCAATGCATGGGTTTAATTCTAGATTTTTATTCTATTCCATTGGTCTTTCTGGCTATCCTTATGCTAGTACCACACTGTCTTGATTACTGTTGCTTTGTAGTACTTTTTTTCTTTTTTTTTTTTAGATGGAGTCTCACTCTCTCACCAGGCTGGAGTGCAGTGGCATGATCTCGGCTCACTGCAACCTCCACCTCCTGGGTTGGAGCAATTTTCCTGCCTCAGCCTCCCAAGTAGCTGGAACTACAGGTGTGCGCCACCATACCCAGCTAATTTTTGTATTTTTAGTAGAGACGGAGTTTCACCGGGTTGGCCAGGATGGTCTCGATCTCTTGACCTCGTGATTCACCTGCCTCGGCCTCCCAAAGTGCTGGGATTACATGTGTAAGCCACCACACCCGGCCTGTAGAGAGTTTTAAAATCAGGACGTGTAAGTCCTCCTACTTTGTTCTTCTTTTTAAGAATTGTTTTTGGCTATTCTTGATCCCCCACAATTCCATATGAATCTTAGAACCAGATTTTCTATTTTACCATTAAAAGAATTCAGCTGTGATTCTGACAGAGACTTTGTTGAATCTGTACATCAATTTGGGGAATATTGTCATTTTAACAATATTAAGACTTCTGATCCATGCATATGGGATGTTCTTCCATTTATTTCTATTTCCTTTTTTTTTTTTTTTTTTTTTTTTTTTTTTTTTTTTTTTGAGATGTAGCTTCGCTCTTGTTGCCCAGGCTGGAGTGCAATGGCTCAATCTCGGCTGACTGCAACCTCTGTCTCTTGGGTTCAAGTAATTCTCCTGCCTCAGCCTCCCAAGCAGCTGAGATTATAGGCATGCACCACCATGCCTGGCTAATTATTTCTATTTTCTTTAGATTGCTTAATAAAAATGTTTTGTAGTTTTCAGATTATATGTTTTACACTTCTTTAGTTAAGTTTATCACTAAGGATTTTAGGTTTTTGGTGCTATTTGCTATTGAATTGTTTTCTTACTTTCATTTTTAGATTGTTCATTGCAAGTGTATAGAAATACAATTGACTTTTATATATTGATCTTGTATTTTACAACCATGCTTAATTCATTTATTAGCTCTAATACTTTTTCTAGTGAGTTAGGATTTTCTGTTTATAATATTATGTCTTCTGTGAATAGAGATAATTTTACTTCTTTCTTATCAATATGAATGCATTATATTTCTTTTAATTGACCAACTAGCCTGCTAGAACCTCTAGTATAATGTTAAATAGAAGTGGCAAGAGTGGGTATCCTTGCCTTGTGTCTGATCCTAGAGAAAAAGTATCCAGTCTTTCATGATTCAGTATGATGTTAGCAGTAGGTGTTTTGTAGATGTCCTTTATCAGGTTGAGGAAGTTCCCTTCTACTACAGGTTTGATGAATGTTTTTATTATGAAATGTTGTTGGATTTTGTCAAATGCTTTTTTCTGCATCTATTGAGATGATCATTTGGTTTTGTCCTTCATTCTGTTGATATGGTGTATTGCACTGATTGATTTTTAAATGTTGACTAACCTTACATTCTTGAATAAATACCCCTTGGTTATAGTGTATAATTTGTTATATATGTTGCTGGATTGAGTCTGCCAGTATTTTGTGTAGGAGTTTTGCATTCATAATCATGAGATATTGGTCTGTAGTTTTCTTCTCGTGTAATTTTTTTGTCTGGTTTTGGTATCAGTGTACTGCTGGCATCATAGAAAGAGTTGGGAATTGTTCTCTCATCTTCTTTTTTTTTGGAGAAAAAGTTGTGAAATTCTTTAAATTTTTGGTAGAATTCACCAGAAGTCATCTGGCCCTGAGTTTCTCTTTGGGAGTAGTTCTGTTGTTGTTGTTTACTAACTCAATCTTTTTGCTTGTTACAGGTCTATTCAGATTGTTTGTTTCTTCTTGAATTAGTTTTGGTAGTTTGTGCCTTTCTAGGAATTTGCCCACTTCATCTAGGTTACCTAATTTTATTAGCATATAATTGATCACAGTTTTCATTTATAATCATTTTTATTTCTGTAAGTTCAGTAGTAACATTCCCTCATTCATTCCTGATTCTAAATATTGAGTCTTTTCTGTCTTTTACTTATTCAGTCCAGCTAAAAGTCTATTTTACATGAATTAGTATAGCCAATCCAGCCCTCTTGTGTTTGCTGTTTGCATAATATATCCTTTTCCAATTCTTTTTTTCAGTCTATTTGTATCTGTAACTCCAAATTGTGGCTCCTTTAGACAAGGTATAGTTGGGTCTTGTTTGTTTTTCCCGTGTGACAATCTCTGACTTTTGACTAGATTGTTTAATCCATTTACATATAATGTTATTATTGATATAATCGGATCTACTTCTGCTATTTTACTTTTTTTTCTCTGTCTACTGTCTTTTTTGTTCCTCTATTCCTACTTTACTCCTTCCCTTTGCATTAAATATTTTCTAATTTAGCCTTTAAATTTATGTAATGTTATTTTCAATATATTCTTTTGAGGTATTTCCTTAGTGGTTGATCTAGGGCTTACCATCAACTTCAGATTTTTACTAACTTAACTCCAATGAGATGTTACTCCTAATAGCTCTATTCACTTTTCCCCCTTTTTTACAGTATTATTGTTATTTTTATATATTACATTTATGAATGCTATAAACCCAACATTACAGTGTTATAATTATTACTTTACATAACTTCAGGTCTCAAAGAAGCTGTGAGGAGAAAAGAGAGCAACTATGTATTTATAGTTTTTATTATATTAGCCATGTTATTTATCATTCCTTGTTCTCTTAAAAAAACAATTGAAGTTCTGCTTTGGTACTTTTCCTGGACTATGCCCTCTTTACCTCTTTCTCAGACTAATCTCAATCTGTATCCTTTCCCTGTGATAAACTGTAACTGTGAATTTAACAGCTTTTAGTGAGTTCTGTGAGTCTTTCCAGTGAACTGTCAAAACTTGGGGACCCCCCAAACTTGCAATTAATATTAAAAGTAAGGGCAGTCTCATGTGGACTGTGTCCCCTCTGACTTCGCACTTGGCCTAAACTGCACAAATAATTCCCAAGGTTAGTGTTTGAAACTTGTTCTAACTCCCAAGACGGCCCCTCCCAGCTGTCTCTTCCCCATTTCTATTCAGCAAAGTAGCCAGCTTGCAGTTTAGCCTGTTTCTCCACTGAATCTAGCAACATCCCCCTCATGGCCTTTCACCACAACCTCCACTGATTTTCAGAGCGCTCTTAGGCTTGAATTTCTCCAAACTCTGTTGCATATAAAGTCAGTTCCTTTGGGGAGAGATTTGGAGTTTTCTATTTTATGGCTTGCTTCTCTCTCTGGGCAAAATCTCTGAGCCACGGTTCTGGTAATTGGGGCAGGAACAATGGCATGCTCTCCTCTCAGTGACACCCCAGTTTTAGGAGCTGAGCACTCAGTGGAGAGGGGGAGGCAGCAGCCCCAGGTCTCCTCAGCTTACCTTTCCCAGTGTGGATCCTTCATCCCACAGGACAGGGGGTGAGCAGTAGGGGCCCCAGGATTCTCGGTGGTTCTGTGCCCTGTACTGAGCCTTTGTCCTACAAGTGGGGGGTGCTGGGCAGAAGGAAGCCTCCACTTCTGAGATGCACTTGCCCGGAATTTAGCCTCAGCAACAGGTAGCTGTGGGCAGAATGAGAAAAATCTGAAGATCTGCCCCTCCCAGGAGGATAACCCTTCAACAGAAAGCTGCAGGGTGGCGGGGGAAGGAGTCCTGTGTCCTCGACTATACTAGCACGATGCAGGGTTTCACTATCTCACTGAGCTGGGAGCAAGGGGAAAGAGGGTCTTGGTCCAAATACCACAGACTGAGTTTTAGGAGATTTGCTTGAATAAATATTTCTTCATTTGCCATATGTTCTTAGGACCATTTCCAGAGTGATTGTTTTAGAATAACTTTTTACCAGTTTTGATTGCAGCTGGGTCCATAGAGCTCCTCATGCTGTCAGGCCAGAAGTACAAACTTGCTTCCAGGGTGTAGTGCCCTTTGGGGTCTGAACCTGGGGATTTTATCAAGGCCCCTGCTTCTGGGCAGTTTCTGACTTCCGTTTCTTATCTTCTCAGGACCATGAATCTGTCAAGAGTTGTTTACGGCCGGGCGCAGTGGCTCACGCCTGTAATCCCAGCACTTTGGGAGGCCCAGGCAGGCTGATCACTTGAGGTCAGGAGTTCAAGACCAGCCTGGCCAACATGGTGAAACCCCGTCTCTACTGAAAAAATAAAAAAATTAGCCAAGCATGGTGGTGCATGCCTGTAACCCCAGCTACTTGGGAAGCTGAGGCAGGAGAATTACTTGAACTCAGGAGGCGAAGGTTGCAGTGAGCCGAGATCATGCCACTGCACTCCAGCCTGGATGCAGAGCCAAACTGTCTCAAAAAAAAAAAAAAAAAAAAAAGAGTTCGGTTTACTTCTTAACTTTTCAGCCTTTCAGAATCAGCCTTGAGAGGGAAATGGTACCAAATGCCAGACTCCCATCTGCCAGACACCCATCTCTGGGTGTCCCTTCTATCCTTAGTGGCTGATCTAGGGCTTACCATCAACTTCAGATCTCGCTCTGTTGCCAGGCTGGAGTGCAGTGGCACCATCTTGGCTCACTGCAACCTCCGCCTCCCGAGTTCAAGCAATTCTCCTGCCTCAGTCTCCCGAGAAGCTGGGACTACACAGATTTTTACTAACTTAACTCCAATTATCTTAGCCCTGCAATCTCTCATTGCTATAGTAGCTCTTCAAAGAGATTTTAAAAAATATTTAGTCCAGATTTTCTAGTTATTCTCAGAGGAAGGGTTGGTCTGGAAAACTTAATCTGCCATTGATGGAGGTAGGAACTGAAGTGGCTAACAGTGAAGATGGAGAGGAAGATGAGCAGAAGAAACACTTAGGAGGTGAAACCAAGAGACCCTACTGATTGATTGGATACAGGAAAAAGAAAGATAACAGGATGATGTGAAGATTTTTATCTGATAGCTTCATAGTTGGTGGAACCCTTCACAGAGACAGGGACCCGGGAAGAGGAAGCAAGCATGATGAGAAGGAGAGATCATGAGTTCAACTCTGGGTATTCCAAATTTGAGATGCCTGTGTGGCATTACACTGTTCAGGAAATGATGCAGTATCGAGGTCTGAAGTACAGGAGAGGAGCCTACACTTCAGACCAAGATTTGAAAATTATCAACAAAGAGGTAAAGACTGAAGCCACAGGATGGACAAGAGTGGGCTGAGAGAGAGGAGGAACCAGGGAAGATCATTGGAAAACACTGACTTTGAGGTGATAGAAGAGACAGTTGGCCTCAGAGAAGGAGTGGGCATGAAATCAGGAGGAATTTAGGAGAGTACAACCAGTAGAAGAAATCAAAGGAGAAGGGTGGGATCCACACATCGAGTGCTTCAGGTGGCCCAAGCAGAGGAGAGGAGTACCTTCCAGAGAAGTTTCAATGGCAGTGGGAGCAGAATCCAGGTGGCCAAGGCTGAGGGAGTGGGCAGGCAGTTAAAGAAGCAGAAGACAGGAGTGTAGACAACTCTTTTCAGAAGTTCCTAAGAGGAGTCTGCAGGAGATCTCTATTCTGCTAAGCCATCTACCTTAAGTGTGCTGCATTTCTGCAGCCTACACTGGTTGTCTTGGCTTTCCCACCTCCCCCTCAAGCTCTTGAAAGAATTCCATGGGGATGGATTAGTTGTTGAATCTAGTCATTTCTCCTTTTGCCTCAATCTATTTGTCCACTCAGCATCATCAAACACCATTAACCACCCATCTCTACCTCTGGTCCAAGATAACACTGTGGTAATTTTTAAACATAGATGCAAATTCCTTGACACTATCTCCCTTTGATCCCTCCCCTTGAGTCTGGACAGGTTTTTGATCATTTCTGTCATGGTGGTGGAAATTATACTATGTGACATTCAAGGCTAGGTCATAAAGGTCATGCAGCTTCTGCCTTGCATGATGCATTCCAATTCATTTGTACTGTTGCATGTACCAATAGCTCTATCCCTTTTATTGCTGTATAGTGTTCCATTGCATGGATAAACCACAGTGTGTTCATCCATTCATCAGTTGACAGGAAATTGTGTTGCTTTCAGTCTTGGGCAGTATGAATAAAGCATCTCTAACTGTTCTCATATAGGTCTTTGTGTGGACATACGTTTTCATTTGGAATTTGCCCTCTCTGCTCTCTCCTTTTCCCCATCCTGCTGCCTGACATGCAGATATGATGGCAGAACTCTAGCTGCCATCTTGAGCCATGGGATGAAGACCTTCATCTAGGATGGCAGAGTGTTGAGCTGGGAAGAGCCTGGGTCCCTAGCGCTGTGCAAATCCACAGCAGCCGTGGATTGTCCACCTATGGACTTCTCAAAAATAAGAAATACATTCCCATCTTATTTAAACCACCATTATTTTGAGATTGTCTATTACTTGCAGAAAATCTAATTTTAACTTACCATTGTGAAAACTCCTTTTGGGGAGATGGTATAAGCTTAAGTTACATGGAGTCAGTTTGCATTGCTTGCAAACAAGAACCCCAATTGAAAGCTTTCCTGTGATGTTAGAGAAGATGCACATCTTCTTCACCAGATGTGGTCTTGTCTGTTCTTGGCAAATAGATCCAAAGCAGTCAATTCATGACCATGAACATGCTGAGGATTGTAAGAGGAAGATGAATGGCACCTGGCCCCATCTGTGGGTCCATTCCTGCTGGCATTTGTGAGCCACTAACCTATCCAAACTTGGGGCTGCCCAATCCTCTGGGCTTCATGTTATGTGAGAAAATAATTATCATTGACAAAGACTTATAGTTGATCATCTATTACATGCAATGGACAGAAACCAATGAACACATTCCCTCTCCTAACACCTTCTCATAGCACTCAAGGACTTTACCATCCGAGTCCCCCACCTTTGCAGCTTCATGTTGGCTTCTATATTTGTCCACTTTCCTGACTACAAAGTTCTTTCATGTACTTTGTCCCATGAAATTCTCCCAAGATCCCTCTCGCTTAGGATTTTTTTTAATCCCCATTTTACAGGTGGGGAAATCAAGGCAAGGCAAAGTTAAGACTCAACCAAGATGCCCCAACTAGTAAGTGGCAGAGCCTCTGCTCGCTTCACCTAGGCCTGTTAACACCACGTCTTGAGTTCTAGTCACGACTCTAAGCTGCCTTTCTCATGAACCTATGCCCCTAATATAGGCTTTATTTTTGCCCGCCACACTGTGCCTATCCTCAAACATTGCCGAGAAAAGCCCTTTCCTCATCTCCACTTTCACAAATCTCCTCTATCCTGAATTCAGTGTAGGCTCAAACATCACTTCAAAAATAAGACAGTACCAGATGTTCTTGGCCTCAGTGATTGGATCGTTGGTGATCACAAGACACACACTAGACCAATTAGAGTAAATTCTGGAACTTTTGCTGGAATCACTGGAAAATTTAAAAGTCCTTTTTTCCCACAAAGTAGCTCAACTGGAGAGACAAGAGCCTGAGAGTACTGGGGACTTCTGTGCCACCTTGTAAGAAGCCCACATAGAGGAAAGTAGAGACGGTAATGGAGAGAGACTGGTTTTATTGTCTCTCTCTAGTGCCTTATAATTCCCAGTTACATCAGCCACACCAACCTGTTTTTGCCTGTGTATTTGGGTTGCAATCCTGTCATTTGAAGTCAATAGTTCAGACTAACAAAAGCCCCTAATTTACAACACCTTCCCTCGTTCATTTAGTTTTTTTTTTTTCAACAAATGGTATGAAGCATTTATCGTGCACCAAGTGCTAGCCATGGTCTATTAAACAGATACAGTCTCTGATTTCCTCAGATTCACAGCCTCATGGGGAAGACAGACATCAACCAAGAGGAAGCACCAATTAACGTATAATAATGAGGCAAAGTGGAAAGTGTTCTGAAGTGGCCATTCCATGCAAGTACCTGGGGAACCTGAGCTAAATTGAAAGCAGAGGCAAGGCCACATCCTGGCCTTGATCCAGGATCTGGCCAGATCCCAGGCACATTGGAGGGGCACATTTAGTATTCTGAGCTTCATCCTAAGAGCCATGAGAAGTACTGCTGTAGGAAGATGTTTTTAAAATTATCAATTTTTTGCCCAAAGACTTCCTTCAAGCCCTCTTTTACCTCCTCCCCTATTCAGGTCATCAGGTCATTTCTGTACTCATTGCCTCAGGGAGGGACACGTCAAAGCAGGAAGCAGAGGGAAAAAATGAGTCTCTTCATGGCTTTGGCTTATTCCCTCCTCAAGAAGCAGTCTGCTGAGGAGCAGCCCAGGGCTGGCAGGGCAGCTCTTCTCCACAAGAGTATCTGTCTAGCCCCTGGTGGCGCAATGATCACCTCCATGTTTGCCCTCCAGCCCAGGGGAAGGAGAATGAGGACTCCAGAGGAAACAGCTTATTGGGGCTCATCACTTCTCCTGGAATCTTATTAGCCCAAGCTTAATCACATGACCACGCTGATTACAAAGAGGCTGGGAAACGTGGTCACTAGCTGGGTGGCCATGTACATAACTAAAATTTGGAGTGTCTTATTACTTGTTAATATTTTTTGTTGAGGTATAATTCACTTACCATAAATTCACCTTAAAAACTTCTGTGATTCAATCATCTTGAATATATCCAGATTTTGCAACCATCACTCCTATCTAATACCACTGTTCTAATTTCAGAATATTTTTATCACCCCATAAAGAATCTCTGTGCTCCTTAGCAGTCACTCCTCACTCACCCTATCCCCCAACCTCTGGAAAGCTCTCATCTACATTCTGTCTCTATGGGTTTGCCTTTGCTGGACATTTCATGTAAATGCAATTATACATGCAGCCTTCTGTGTCTGACTTCTTTCACGTAACATATTTTATTGTTTATCTATGGCATAGCATACATCAGTGCTTCACTCTTGACTCCTTTTTTTTTTTCAGTAACAATGTTGGCATGGCTGTTTTTGTTTCTGCTCAGCCCCAGCCTGGTCCTCACCATCTCCTTCCACCTGCCCATTAACTCCTGAAAGTTCCTCCATGAGGAGATCCACAAGGACCTGCTAGTGATGGGTGCGTACGAGATCTCCAACAAGTCTGGGGGTGCTGGCAGCCTGCACAGCCACCTCAAGGTCACAGATTCTGCTGGCCACATTCTCTACTCCAAAGAGGATGCAACCAAAGGGAAATTTGCCTTTATCCTGGAAGATTATGACATGTTTGAAGTGTGATTTGAGAGCAAGGAAACAGGGTGGATACCTGATCAATTCGTAATCCTAGACATGAAGCATGGAGTAGAGGCAGAAAAGAAATTACAAGGAGATTACAAAAGTCGAGAAGCTTAAACCGTTATAGATGGAGCTGCAATGCCTAGAAGACCTGTCAGAATCTATTGTTAATGATTTTGCTACGTGAAGAAGAGAGAGATGTGTAGTACTAATGAATCAACAAACACTTGAGCCCTGTACTTCAGTGTCTCTTTAATGTTCTGCTTCATTGGACTAGCCACCTGGCAGGTTTTCTACCTGTGTTGCTTCTTCAAGGCCAAGATGTCGATTGAGTAATGAACGAAGTGCACTCTCCTCCCACCTTGTATCTCAGGCAGCAGAACATCACTGGGCATCCTACCAAAAGCACCATCAAAATGCACTGGAGCCCTCTTGCCAGAACTGATCTCTTGGTGGGGGAGGACATGGGTACCACCTACCCAACAAGTCAATGAGAGATTTCTTTTTAGCTGGTAGTATTTGGACTTGTTTTGCAACAATAGGACCAGTATTAGAGTCACCTATGACCAAAAATAAGGGTTACCAAATAATGCCAAAGCCAGGATTTGTGCTGGGTTTCCTTGTGCGATCTGTTTGAACCAAGTTTTCTTTCCTTCTCCCGCTTTCTCGGCAGCTTGAATTTCCACTCTAGTTCTTTTACCCAGATTGGTATGGCCATGTTGAACTTGTTTCCTTCTGGTTGTCTTCTTTGGGTTTCCTTGTGAAAACACCCTTAACTTTCCTTTTGCCTTTAGCTGAAATGTTTACATAGCTTCTGGTGATATCTTCTCATAATTTTATGTCTCTTAAAAGGTTGACGGATGTGACACTTCAAAAAGTGAGCTTTGAACTGAAGATAACTCTTAAAGAAAATATCATTTTAGACAATTAAAATATTTATGCTCCAAAAAGATATAATTTACATATCACTTTTTCACTGTTTTTATGGCTAAATAAAATTACATGGCATCAACATTCCATACTTTGCCCATCCATTCATCAGTTGGTGGACATTTGGATTGTTTATATCCTTTAGCTATTAGGAATAATGCTGCTTTGAACATAATGTAAGTTTTTGTTTGAACATTTGTTTTCAGTTCTCTTGGATATATACCTAGGAGCAGAAGATGGGTCATATGGTAGCTTCATGTTTAACTTTTCAAGAAACTGCCTGCTTGTTTCCAAAATGGCTGCACCATCTTACATTCCCCAGAAGCAACGCAAGAGGGTTCCAATGCTTCAACATCCTCACCATTGCTATCGTCCATCTTTATTACAGCCACCCTAGCGGATGTAAAGTGGTGTCTCACTGTAGCTTTGATGTGCATTTTCTGATGCACATCATTTTACTGATGCTGAGCATTATTTCATGTGTTTGTTGCCACTTGTCTATCTTCTTTGGAGAAATGCCCATTCAAGTCTTTTGTCCATTTAAAAAATTGGATTATTTGTCTTTTTATTGTTGAGTTTAAGGAGTTCTTTATATATTCTAGACACTAGACCTTCATCAGAGATATGACTTGCAAATATTTTCTCCCATTCCGCGGCTTGTCTTTTCATTTTATTGATAGTGTTTTTGAAACACGAAGTTTTAAATATTGATGAAGTACAATTTATCTGGCTTTCCTCCCCTTTGGTTGCTTGTGCTTTTGGTGTCATATCTACGAATGCTTGCCTAGCTCAGAGATTTGTGCCTATGCTTTTTTCTAAGCAGCAGTGATCCAATCAAAGCCACATTGCAAAAAAGACCCGCAGCTGACTGTGGTGTGGCCAGTAAATGGAGAGGGCAAAGGAGCAGGTATGGGGAGGTCAGTGAGGACACTGTGGCAGTGGTCAGGGAAACAGACAGACAGATGATAGCAGCTTGGTCCAGAGTGGTGGCAGTAGGAATGGAAAGAATTGGGCAGATTTCTGAATTATTAAGGAAGACAAACCTCAGAACTGAGTCTTCCATCTCCACCGTCCACCCACGTTACTCCTCCTCAGTCTCCTAACACACTTTTTTTAAAAAGAAAAAACTACTGAGGTGTATTTTACATGTCATAAAACTCATCCATTTCAAGTATAGAATTCAACAACTTGTGGTAACAAATACAATATGTGGCCTTTTGTGACTGGCTTCTTTCAATTAGCTTAATGTTTTCAAGGTTCATCATGTTGGAGCATGTAAATGGGCTTCATTCCTTTTCATAGCTGCATAATGTTTCATTATGCCACATACTGTTTATCCATTCATCAGTTGATGAGCATTTGGGTTGTTTCTACTCTTTGACTATTATGAATAATGCTGCTAAGAACATTAATGTACAAGTTTCTGTGTGGACATATGCTTTCATTTCTCTTATTTTCATTTTATTCCACCTAGGAGTGGAATTGCTGGGTTGTATGGTAGTGTTATGTTTAACTGTTTGAGAAACCACCAAATTATTTTTGTTTTCTTTTTAAGATGAGGTCTCGCTATGTTGCCCAGGCTGGTCTTGAACTCCTGGCCTCAAGTGATCCTCCCACCTCAGCATCCCAAAGCGCTGGGATTACAGGCATGAGGCATGCCACCATTACACACCCGGCCAGCCACCAAATTATTTTCCAAAGCAGCTACACCACCTTACATTCCCACCAGCAGTGTATGAGCATTCCCATCTCTCTACACCCTCGACAGTAATTTTGGTCTGTCTAATTTACTATAGCCATTCTAGTGGGTAAGAACTCACACACACTTCTGCTTCTTCTTGGCAATGCATCCATGTGGAGCCATGCTGGGGCTTTCCAGGACTGGCTGACTTTCACCTCCACTTGTAGAAAGAAGGGACATATCTGGCAATACTGTAGCCCCAGAGCTTGGTCCAGGGCCTAGAACTAAGGATGCACCCCTGAATGGCTCCTGGATGGATAATGGGCTGGGTGAGGGAGGTACATGGTGAGGGGGATACTGGTTTCAGTGCAATTGGAGCTCAGTGATATCTGAGAAGTCTGGGGGCTGGGAGGGGAGATGTGCATATCTAAGGACACCACCCACCGTATGATAGGGTATAGAAGAGGCAGGGTAACCTGTGTAGAAAATCAGCTCCCAGCCTCCTGCTCGGACCTTACCCTCAAGGAATGCAGAACCCCCTGTGTATCCCTTTCTCCTCCTGATATAGTTTAGATATTTATCCCCACCAAATCTTCATGTTGAATTGTAATCCCAGTGTTGCAGATGGGGCCTGGTGGGAGGAGTTTTGGTCATGGGGGTGGACCCCTCATGGCTTGGTGCTGTCCTCACTGTAGTAAGTTCTCACAAGATCTAATTGTTTAGGTGTGTGCCACCTACCCCCTCCCACTCTCTCTCTCTTTTGCTCCTGCTTTTGCTATATGAGGTACCTGATCCTGCTTCACCGTCCACCATGACTGTAAGCTTCTTGAGGCCTCCCCAGAAGCCAAGCAGATGCCAGCACCATGCTTGTACAGCCTGCAGAACCATGAACCAATTAAACCTCTTTTCTTTATAAATTACCCAGTCTCAGGTATTTCTTTATAACAATGCAAGAAAAGCTGAATATACCTCCCCACTGGAGCACTAGCCCCAGACCTGTCACAAGTCAGATGTCACATATGCTTATAGAGACAAGAAAGAGGACATGGAAGTCCCAGAGGGGCTGCAGGTAGTATCCTGGCAAGGGTTGAGCTCTGGAATTGGGATGTCTGGTTTGCCCCCCTCATCTTCTTGGGGCTAGGTGAGCTCCTTGGTATCCCTAGTTGGCATTCCCAATTGGAATCTGCAGACTCACATTGCCTGGATTTTTCCTGGGCTATTTCATGTGATCCAGACCCTGGGAGTGCTTCCTCTCTCAAGAAGCTCCTTTCATGCCCTGACACAAATTCCTCAGGTCTCAACCCAACACAGAAACCCACCTCAAAGCGACTTAAGCAAAACAGGTAATACATTGGCTCATGAGACTGAACAACCATGACCCACAAGGCTGGTGTGGGGGCTCAAAAGGTGGCTTCAGGAACCAGGCTGTGTCCATTTCTTTGTTCTTGTTTCCTCCATATGTCTTGACCCACCCCACAATGGCCACAGCATCTCCATCCTTACCTCTTCCTAGCTGAGCAATCCCAGCAGAGAAAGAGTAACTTTTCTCAGCACTTCTAAAAGGAATACCATGCCTGAGTCTCTTGGGCCTGGCTTGGGGGCAATGTCACAAGGTAATTCCTCAGGGATTCCAGCCTCCTCTTTATTCAAGGGATACCTGGTCTGTGAACTGGCTTTGGTCTGGGAACTGGATAAGGGACTGTGACTCCCTATTATGGCAATTCAATTCAGGGCTCTAGTCACCTGACCTAAAGAACCTTTTTTGTTGGTGTTTAGGCAGATCAAATTATATGACTTCTGCTTCTGGTCATGATGGTATAACAGGGAGTAGACTTACCCTCCCATCTTAAACAACTAAACAAAACAAAATATGCAAAACAATGGTTTTCAGATTTTACCAACAGTGCAGGATGATGATCTCTGAGGGAATGAAAACAAATGAGGTGAGCCCCATCGCTGTGCTGTCTCATCTCTGAAGGGAGTTTCAGGCTCCAGTGCTGGGAGGGAGGCTTAAACAGATTCTTGTGGTCTCCCTGATTTACAGAGACAGTGTTCAGAAGACAAGGTAGACAGAATTAACAAGGCAGAGTACCAGAAAGAGAGCTGAAGAGAGGGGGTAGGTGGTACTGAAATTCTGCACAGGGCTCTCCTTGGTTAGTCAGTGGAATACTGATCATTGCATGTATGTGAAGAAACTTGTGAGGCTAGGTAAAGAACCACGGAAAAGTAGCAGACAGAACAATCCCTAGGGTTGACACAGGGCCAGGAAGTGTTCATGTTCCCACTGGCCAGAATGGAACTCAACAATGGGGCCAAATTAGTCCTAGATTAAAGGCTATTCTGGGTCAATGCTTAAAAGCAAGTCACAAAAGAATCAAACTCTATCCCAGAACAAAGCACAAACAGACAAAAATCCAGCACCCAGGATCAAAACACTTATAAATCTGCTATTCAATCAAAAATCATCAGACATGCAAAGAAACAGGAAAATATAAGGAGAAAAATTAATCAATAGAAACAGATCAACAAATGACACAAATGATAGAATTATTAGATTATGGCATTAAGACAACTATTATAAAAATACTCAACATGTTCAAGAAGGGAGAAGAAAACATGAACATGATGAAAAGAGAAATTGAACATATAAAAAAGTCAAAAATTAAGCTTCTACAAATAAAAACTACAATGGATGGGATTAACAGCATATTAGACATTGCAGAAGAAAAATAAAGCAGGAAAAAAAGGAAAAACAAAGAACAGATGGCATAGAAAGAAACTAGCAATATGCTAGAATTAAATTCAGCCATATCAATCATCACAGTAAATGTAAATGTTCTAACATTCTAACTAAAAGGCACAGATTATCAGATCAAAAAAAAATTTTTTTTTTGAGATGGAGTTTTGCTCTTGTTGCCCAGGCTGGAGTGCAATGGTGCGATCTCGGCTCTCTGCAACCTCTGCCTCCCGGGTTCAAGAGATTCTCCTGCCTCAACCTCCTGAGTAGCTGAAATTACAGGCCTCCACCGTCATGCCTGGCTAATTTTTTTGTATTTTTAGTACAGATGGGGTTTCACCATGTTGGCCAGGCTGGTCTCAAACTCCTGACCTCAGGTGATCCACCTGCCTCGGCCCCCCAGAGTGCTGGGATTACAGACGTGAGCCACTGTGCACAACCAAATTTTTTTAAAATAAGACCTAACTATATGCTGTCTACAAGAAATCCATTTTAAATATAAAAGCTACAGATAGGTTAAAAATTTTTAAGTGGAGTGTAAATATATATATATTTCATTTGTATATATTATTATATATTATATATTTTATAATACATAAATATATAATATATTTCACTATATATTATTTCATATATATTCCATATATAATATGCATATTCATATATAATATGCATATTCATATTTGCCATATATAATATGCATATTCATATTTACCACATATAATATGCATAGTCATATTTACCACATATAATATGCATAGTCATATGTAATATGCATATTCATATATAATATGCATGTTCATATTTACCATATATAATATGCATATTCATATTTACCATATATAATATGTATATTCATATTTACCATATATAATATGCATATTCATATATACCATATATAATATGCATATTCATATTTACCATATATAATATGTATATTCATATTTACCATATATAATATGCATATTCATATTTACCATATATAATATGCATATTCATATATAATATGCATGTTCATATATACCATATATAACATGCATATTCATATTTACCATATATAATATGCATATTCATATATACCACATATAATATGCATATTCATATATAATATGCATATTCATATATACCACATATAATATGCATGTTCATATTTACCATACATAATATGCATATTCATATATGCCATATATAATATGCATGTTCCATATATTATATATTCCATATTATATATATTCTATATTGTATATGTTTCATATATATAATATATATTCCATATTGTATATATTTCATATATATAATATATATATTCCATATATATAATACACACATACCATGAAGTTACTCTTTTTGAAAAGCTGGGATGCTATACTAATATCATATAAAATAGATTTCAGGACAAGAACTATTGCCAGGAATAAAGAGGGACATTCCATAATGATAAAGAGTTACTTAGTCAAGAAAACATAAAAATCCTAAATATTAATGCACCTAATAACATGACTTCAAAATATATGAAGCAAAAACTAAAAGGAAAAATAGACAAATCCACAGTTATGGCTGGAGATTTCGACACATCTTCTCAATAACTGACAGAACAAGCAGACAGAAAATCAATAAACTTATAGAACAGAGGTCTGAAAACAGATTAGCCTTGTTTTTGTAAATAAAGTTTTATTGGAAAACAACCACAAACACTTTTTTATATACTGTTGGTGACTGCCTTCATGCTATAATGGCAGAGTTCAGTAGTTGAGTTGCAACAGAGATGGTATGGCCTCCACTGACAAAAATATTTATAATCTTATAATGTGGCTCTTTAAAAAAAGTTTGCCAATCTTTTTTTTTTTTTTTTTTGAGACAGAGTCTCGCACTGTCACCCAGGTGTGAGTGCCGTGGCGCAATCTCGGCCCACTGCAACCTCTGCCTGCCAGGTTCAAGCGATTCTCCTGCCTCAGCCTCCTGAATAGCTGGGATTACAAGTATGCGCCACCATTTCCAGCTGATTTTTGTATTTTTAGTAGAAACAGGGTTTTACCATGTTGGTCAGGGTGGTCTCGAACTCCTGACCTCAGGTGATTCACCTGCCTTGGCCTCCCAAAATGCTGGGATTACAGGCATGAGCCACCACACCCAGCCTGCCAATCTCTGATATAGAAGACATGAACAACATCATCAAACAACTTAACCTAATTACTGTTTATAGAACACTCCATCCAACATCTGAATACATATCTTTCAAGTACACAGAAAGCGTTAGCCAAAACAGACTGTATTCTGCACCATAATGGAAGTGTCAATATATTTTAAAGGGTGAAAATCATACTAAATGTCTCTTCTGACAACAATAGAATTAAATTGGAAGTCAATCCCCAACTAAATAACACACTTCTAAATAATCCATGAGTTAGCCAGGCACCATGGCTCACACCTGTAATCCCAGCACTTTGGGAGGCCAAGGAGGGCAGATCATGAGGTCAGGAGATCGAGACCATCCTGGTTAACGCGGTGAAACCCCGTCTCTACTAAAAATACAAAAAATTAGCCGGACGTGGTGGCGGGCGCCTGTAGTCCCAGCTACTCAGGAGGCTGAGGCAGGAGAATGGTGTGAACCTGGGAGGCGGAGCTTGCAGTGAGCCGAGATTGCGCCACTGCACTCCAGCCTGGGCGACAGAGCGAGACTCCATCTCAAAAAAAAAAAAAATTAAATAAGTAAATAAATAAATAAATAAAAATAACCCATGAGTCGAAGAAAAAAAACTGCAAATGAAATTAGAAAACATTGGAACAAATGCAAAGGAAAACATGGCATAGCAAATTGTGAGGCATGCAGATCAGGTCAGACTTTCGTAGGCTGACATGTACTGAGTTCAAGGACATCATGATCAATTAGACACCACCGAAGATCTCTCTGGGCCAAGCCATCCTGATTATTGCTCCAACCCACCTTATCTCTGGCAGTATGGGGCTACCTCCCGTACTCTCCTGCTTCCTCGAATCAGTTAACTTCCCCAAAACTTAGTGGCTTAAACACTAACCTTTTGTTTTGCTCGCAGTTCTGTGGAGCAGCTGAACGGTTCTTGTGTTCTGGGTAACCTGGACTGATTCCTGCTGAGCTCTTTCATGTGCCTATAGACAGCTGGTGGCTGAACAAGCCAGGATAACCTCACTCGCATATCTGGCAATTGGCTGGCTGTTGGCCAGAGTGCAGTGGCACTGGACACACATGCCTCTCATCGTCCAGCAGTCCAGCCAGACTTCACTGGGGCTGGGCTCCAGGGGCAGAAGGAAAGGGAAGAGCAAGCAAGCCCCAATGCACAAGGTCTTTGAAAGCCTTGCCCTGCATCACCTTTCCTACTGTTCCATTTTTCCAAAGCAGGTCACACGTCCAAACCCAGAGACAAGGTGTGGAGCAATAGACTCCACCTGGGAAGAGCTGCAGAGTGCGGTGGATGAGAGGAGAAGTATTCATGGCCATTGTTACAATTTATTCAGGGAGCTCATTTCAATGGGGACATCTCCCACTATCATCGCTGGCCTGCAAAGAATAGTCAAGGCACAGCCTTTCAAGATGCCCATGCTTCCCTCACCAATGTGTTACCCAAAGCTTTGGTCCAGAAAACATCGTCTGAACTCCTCACCCCAGGGATCATGGTTAGGTGGTAGATGAGTATTTGACTGCTCAAATCTCAATAACTTCCAGAGCCCTAGCTGTGAGGGAGTCCAGAAAAGGTACTTTGTATCCTTCCAGCCTCTGCAGTACAGGAAGGACCCCAAAAGGTGGTGACATGGATGCTGAGCACCAGTCCAACATGTCCGCCCACGCTGAGGAGCTTCATGAGGAGGGAGGTGAGCCCTGCAGCAACAGGGAAGGAGACAGGCAGGAGTTCCCTGTTGCCTGCTCCTATCTAGAGGCCTCAAACTCCAGCTAATTTAAGCCATGTCAGCAGGGACCTCCCACGTGCTGACTCAGGCCAGCCATGACTAAGGTCCAAATCAGTCTCAACAGGAGCAAGGCGGCCCCCATGCCGGCCAGACCCCTCCCGGCACACACTGTGCAGACCCAGAGCCTACAATAATCACAATTGTCACCAGCCCCACCATGTGCCAGGGACAGTGCTCTGCAGCGAGAGAGACCATCTTGTTTAATCCTCAAAACCACCAGGGGCAGGGAGGGGCAGTTCCATTCCAACGGGGATAAAAAGCAATGCTCAGAGAGGTGACGTCACTTACCAACATCACCTATAATAGTGACTGAGCTGGGGTTTGAATACAGATCTAAATGACAGGGAAACCTTCCCGCTGGGTTGCACAGCTGCTCTGCCTGTCATCTTCCAATCTCACTGGTTGTCAAGGGAGGACCTGCTCCCTAGGCACCCAAGGTGTTCTCTGCCCTTCACTTCACTCCACACCATGGAGAGCTGCCCCCAAGCCTGTACCTGGGTCTCTGAGGAGGTCTTACCCAGACCCTGTCCTGCTGCCCACAAACATGTCACTGGCTAAGAGGGATGCATTCTTCCCTCCAATCCAAGGAAAAACAAGTGTGTGATCACTTGAAAGATGACCCTGTATTTCTAACTGGATGTCCCTGGAGTCTGCTGTATTAGTGTGGGGGATGACAGCTGCCCTGATTCTATTTCCCCTTCCCTGAAGAACAGGCTTTTCCTAAGGGAAATTCCTTAGGATATTTTATGAGGATTGGCATCACCTCTCACAGAGGCACCAGAGTTCAACCTGTGGCCTATGCAGGGCCAATCACAGTCATTGTGATTATTTCAAGGATGGGCATATGACCCAGTTTGAGCCAGTAGTCAGCCAGTCTGGTGATTTTTTTCTGGCCCAAATGGAAAGGGGAAGTTTTCTTTCCACTGGAATTATTGAGCTGATTAATTATGAGCCTGAAGCCTTTGGGAACTATCCTGTTAACACAAGGAGAAAGTCTCCAGAGAAATAAGCCAACCCAGAAGCCCTAGAGCCAGCCATTCCTGAAGCTGGTGGAGCTTTGAAGTACATAGACCAACAATTTCTCTTTTATCCTGAAGGTGAGTTGGGTTTCTGTCACATGCACTCAAGTGGAACCCTGACTTCACTTTTACAATTTATTGTACCCAACAGGATCACGTTTTGCGAGGCATAAACTGTGCCCATTTCTCATCGAGTAAGAAATAAAATCCTCCAAACCCAACCCATCACATCAGTCATCCTGCTGTCTCCCTGCCAGGCCTGTCCAATCACCTCCTTATCTGAACACCCTCCCACCCCACACACAACGTGGCAGTTCCTCAGTAGCCGAGGCCACCCCTCCCTCCTTCCTTGACACCCACAGTCTGGCCCTCTGGTCCATCCTCCCTCCAAGATGGCCCAGGACTCCCCACAGGGGACACAGGCTCCAGGAGTGGGGCTGA
This sequence comes from Homo sapiens, assembly GCF_000001405.40. Taxonomy (NCBI): domain Eukaryota; kingdom Metazoa; phylum Chordata; class Mammalia; order Primates; family Hominidae; genus Homo; species Homo sapiens. Next base: position 128,549,046 of record NC_000003.12, read on the forward strand.
GCAGAACAGCCTCAGGCTGATGGTCTTTGTGGACCATGCACCCTATCAGGAAAAAAACAGGGACACACCTCCATAATCATTTCTTTATAAATGACATACATTGCAACACCATTTGCATTTTATGTCTTAATAAAGCTGCATTAATTTCTTCTTTTAGATGAACGTTTAAATAGAAAGTCTCCTGTTTTCTTGCTTTTCATGGCCTATTGTTTCTATTTTCTTGTCTTTCACACTCTGTGGTGACTGCAGGGTCCGTCTGGTGGGGGTGGGGCCGTGGCTGGACTCTCCTTCCCGCCCCCAGGTTGTTTTCCAAACTTTCAGTATCGTGAGTAGAAGGAGGGGCCCTGCCTGGGGAGGGCCGTGTGAATCACCCCATGGAAATACTGGCGCCCTGGGCTGGGGGCAGGGTGGGCCTGGTTTCCAGGAAGGGCTTGGGCAGGAAGCCAGGCAGGAAGAGGCTGGGGAGTTTCTGGAAAGGCAGCGCGGAGGGGCCTGGGGAGGCCAGTGGACCTCTCGGGGCAGGGCACTGGCCTCCCCTCTCACAGATGGGGAATCCTTGGCACTTCCTGGCACATGCCAGGGCATGGGGGTGGGGGCAGAAGGCCAGGGAAGGAGGTGGCGGCCGATCCTCAGCAGGCCTCTAGGGTGGGTGGCCGTGGACAAAGAGGGGAGGGTGGGATGGACTTGGAGGAGGTGCCCTAGGGGCTCCTTTGAGCCTGGCCCCAGCACCTACAGCCTGTGCTTGGGGCTGAGGGTCCCATTGTATGACCTGTAGTTTCAGCCAGAAGGATACTTGGAATAAGAGGGGACAAAGGAGGCGGCAGTTTAAAGCGGTCGCTGAGCAGAGAATCCCGCTGATGGATGGGGACGGTGCTGCTCCATAGGGGGCCCTCTCTCAGACTTCTGTAGCCCCCATGGCATTTAGCCAAGAGAGGCTCCCTCCCCACACAAGTGAACTTACAGGACAGAAATCCAGAATGCAAGTGGGATAAGCAGTGTAGAAGTGTTTCTCTCTCAAGGCGGAGTGGTTGATTCACTCATTCATCCACTCGTCTGTGCACGCATTTGCTCCAAAAACACTGCTAAGCTCCAGGCTGCCCACTCCTCATTCATGAAGGTCCTGCCACCTTCAGATCCTGTGCCCCATCCCACAGTGACTGGCCTAGGGTAGAAATGCCATCCCAGCTGGCCCAACTTGGGCAAATATCAGGACTCTGGCAGGCAATACCTGGACAAAGATTTACACCTGGGAGAACGAGGGCCCTAAAGCAGCTGGAGGCCACTTGTCAACCTACAGGAAGAACTGTACTGAGAGTGGATCCAATGGAGAAGGGAGCAGACCCAACAGGTGGGGAGAGACTGGCTCCTTGGATGCTGTTTGAGCGCCTGGATTCACCTGCACCTGAAGCAAAGTGCTACACCCAGAAAACAATGTCCACTGAAGCCAGTTTGAAGCTGGTGCTCTGTTGTCTACAACCCAAGAATGCTAGCTGACAGGGATGAGTTGAGGGTGCGTGGGCACAGAGCACCACCAGGACCGGGTGAGTGAGAAGGAGAGCGGGGCAAGCCGCGGAGGGGGTGGGGGAGGGCACTGGCCCCACTGCAGGGGCAGCCTCCACCCTACCGCCACAGCCCCTTCCTCCATCTCACCAGGACCCAACTCGCTGACATCATCACGGTGGGAAACAGGAACTCCTCGACCTCAGGCCAAAAGATCCATCTGTTAGAGCCATCGGGCCAGCCAAGGCTGCTCAGAGAGGCAGGTGGAGGCCATGTCATTTCTAACTGACCCGGGAAGAACCATGTGGTGTGCAGGGTGGGGGTCCCTGCCCACCCATACTGGGCATCATCCATGCTTAGTGATCACATCCAGCTCAGCAACCACAAGCACAGAGGCCAGCGTGTCCCGCGTGGGACACAACGCAGGGTCCTTGCTGCTCTAGCCGCTGCTCAGGCCACTTATGCTGGCGCCCTAAGAAGTCTCCCTCCTCACATGTCCTCCCTGGAGTTTAAGCCGAGCTCTCCCCTCCAGTGGACATCCTCCTTCCCAGCCTCATGAAAGATTCAAGACAGATAGATAGTTTTTGTTTTTTTTTTTTGAGACGGGGTTTCGCTCTTGTTGTCCAGGCTGGAGTGCAATGGCGCAATCTTGGTTCACTGCAACCTCCACCTCCCAGGTTCAAGTGATTCTCCTGCCTCAGCCTCCCGAGTAGCTAAAGCTGAGATTACAGGCATGCGCCACCACACCCGGGTAATTTTTTGTATTTTTAGTAGAGACGGGGTTTCTCCATGTTAGTCAGGCTGGTCTCCACCTCAGGTGATCCGCCTACCTTGGCCTCCCAAAGTGCTGGGATTACAGGCGTGAGCCACCACGCCCGACCTGATGCAAAATATTTTTTAAAAGCTCTTCCTTAAAAATCTGTGTAGGATGGACTTACTGCAACCTAGCAGGCACCTAAAGAGACCAGGGATAAAAGTCGACCCACGAGAGCCCCAGGAGAAAGGACAACTGCTGCCGAGGCAGAAAGCCTCCAGGACAGCCTGTGGGAGCTGTTGAAAGGCAATGCAGGCAGCAAACACCACAGGACAGAGGGGAGGGCTGCCGCAGTAGTGTGGGCTTGAAGACCGTTCCCCTGTGGGTCCCTCCCAGCACAGGGGAACAGGAAGACATGGTGTGGTCCCTTCTTCACAGAGCGAGCAGTCTGTGGAGAAGACGGGGCTCATCGGGCAATGCCTCCACTGGGGCCAGAAAAGGCTTCCCCTGGCTGGACCTGCAGGACGAGGGTCAGGGCTCAGCCAGGTGGCCAGCCCTCAGCGTCTGCTCCCACCTCCTTCTGTGTCCCAGACCCTAAGGCAGAGGCTGGGAAACTAACAAACTACATTCCCCAGCCTCCTTCACAACTGAGTTCAAATTAGGTTCCGCCAATAATGTGCACTTTTGTGATGTGGAAGGCAAATGGAAGAGAGACACCATCTCCACGTGACTTTGGGGGATTTTTCTGCTGGTAAGTGAGGCATGGAGTTGGTGGGTCTCTCTGCAAGGACAATCCAGGGTCCTGGCTTCAGCTTCTCGGGTGTACAACAGCAGCTGCAGCAGTTGAAGTGGCTTCTAATCCCTGGATCATAGCTGAGAAGCTACATTCTTTTTTTTTCTTTTCTTTTTTGAGATAGTGTCTTGCTCTGTCACCCAGGCTGGAGTGCAGTGGTGCAATCGCAGCTCACTGTAGCTTTGACCTCTCAGGCTCAAGCAATCCTCCCGCCTCAGCCTCCCGAGTAGCTGGGACCACAGGTGTATGGGTCACCACACCTGGCTAATTTTTTTTTTTTAATTTTCTGTAGAAACAGAGTTTCACTATATTGACAACACAGGTCTCAAACTCCTGGGCTTAAGGGATCTTCCCACCTCGGCCTCCCAAAGTGCTGGGATTACAGGGCTGAGCCACTGCACCTGGCCTCAGATGCTATGTCCTTAAACCAGCAGTTCCCATGGTGATCTCATGACTCCCCTACTCCCCAATTACAGCAGAGGTCTGGTGGCAGATCCCCTGACAAGCCAGTTCCGCAGTGTTTTTCTGGGACCATCTTCAGCCTCGACACAGTCCACCAGCCTCTCCACAGGTATTGAAGCACCCAAGTCCCTGTATTAAATCTCCTCCCACTTAAAACACCTAGAGTGACTTCTGTTTCCTACAACCAATACATCAGGCAAAGAGGGCACCAAATAATGTTCCAGATGAAGCCACTGGCATGAGTGTAATCACCTAGCCAAGGATGGAGGAGGGCAGGGTAGAGGCAGGGGCGGGGGCCTAGTTCGGAGTTACTGCATGATGTGATGAGAGCAGGAACTAAGGCAAGGACACTGGATGGAGCAGCAGGAAGGATGGGGGTGAGGAATAAGCCAGACTCGGCCACTGCTTGCCTGAGGCCATGAAGAATGACCTTGAGGTCTCAACCCAGGCAGATGGGACCAAGGAGATTCCATGTATCTAAGGAGGTAAATAAGGCCATATGTGTGAGCACGTAGGGGGACCTTGGCATCAGGCATGCAAGGGGAAGACAGACACACCCCCAAGCCTCATGGGGCTTTTATTCCAGCAAGGGAGATGGATGACCCAGTGGATAAAATAATTTCCAAAATGACAACTACTGCAGAAAAGTCCGAGGGAGATTGGAATAGAAAGCAATGAATGGTTGGAGAAGGCCTCTCAGAAGAGGGGACAATGAAGTTCAGAAGTGAATGAAGAGGCCGGGCACAGTGGCTCATGCCTGTAATCCCAGGACTTTGGGAGGCCGACACGAGTGGATCACCTGAGGTCTGGAGTTCAAGACCAGCCTGGCCAACATGGCAAAACCCCGTCTCTACTAAAAATACAAAAAAAAAAAAAAATTAGCAGGGCGTGGTGACAGGCACCTGTAATCCCAGCTACTTAGGAGGCTGAGGCAGGAGAATCGCTTGAACCAGGAGGCAGAGGTTTCAGTGAGTAGAGATCGAGCCACTGCACTCCAGATTGGGTGACAAGAGTGAGACTCGATCTCAAAAAAAAAAAAAAAGGAAGTGAATGAAGAGCAAAAGGAGACCACTGTGGGCAACTAAGAACACAGTCCAGGCAGAGCGAACAGAGGGCAAAGCCCTTGGTGTGGTAAGGAAATCACTGTGTCCAGGGAGCAGACACAGCTACATGCCCCGGTGTGGCCGTGTGGCTTGAAGCTGAGTAAGCAAGAGAGGAAGGGAGGAACAGGCTCACAGAGGAGCTGGAGAGGTCACAGAAGCTCCCTGATGACCAGAGCCTCTGTTCAGCCAGAACACTCCAGTGGAACACCTTGTGTCCACTAACGAGGCCTTGCCACTAATTTGGCAAAGAAGTAAATAATGTGTTAAAACTCAGATGTCCTAAGTTCTGGTTTTCCAAAAAGGCAGGAACCATACACACCAATCACCAGGGACCAGACAAAAAGCACGAAAAGTGAATCACAGGAGAGGGAACCAGAGGGAACCACTGGTTCCCAAACACC